>NC_000023.11:88826178-89129208 GCF_000001405.40 Homo sapiens
CCCCCCCACTTTTCACTTTTCTCTGTGAGAGAAATTGTGGGCTGAGTTTATCTCCATTGGCAATTAGCTGAGCCACCTCAGAAGAGTGGTGGTGTGGGTAAAGTAAAGGTGTTCTTTCTATCCTCTTCAGTGCATCTATTATTGAAATATTATTTTTATCCAGTGGTGTGCTAGAACTTCTACCCTAGACTCCCACACAAGCACTCTCATCAATCTGTGATTGCCAAAATTGATGTTTCTGTGAAAACATGACAGTAGACTCCTAGTCTGTCATATTGCTGATGTCACTCTTGAACAATTATTTTCTAACTGAGTAATTCTTACATGTCATACAGGAGTAAACAATTAGCTGTCCATTTTAGTTACAGAAATATAAGTTTAACCTATATCGATACTACCAATTCAAATACACTGTTATTGCTTTATTTCCTCATTTTTTCTTAAAGTTTTATGATTAAAATTGTAAAACATCAAAATGTAATCGTTGAAGATACCAGTTTCTATCATTCAAGCTTAACTTATATATTTTATTATGTATACTTTCAAATAAAATTCTACATGGCTTTTCCTAAAAATCAAATATATACTAGTAGCCAAACACTATAGAAGGAACCAGAGTCCACAGACACATAAAGACATGTTTACAAAAGTGAGTGATATATTTTTAGAATAAGAAAACTATCTTAACTGTATCTTTTGAAATAAAGATGAGCTTAAAACTTAGGACTCATGAATTCCAATGTTCTTGTTGGTCTTACTTACAGCTACTAAAATTCTAAATAAACAGTAAAAAAAAATGACATGATGGCAAAATTAGTTATGTGTACATTTTATTTACATTTATAGTCTTCCTAAGTGTCAGAAGAGTGAGATTGTTTAAATTTCTCTATAGATATCTAAGGAAGCTCTTAGGGTACCTGAAAAACTACTTACCCAGTGAGTAGATAGTTATTATATGTGACAACACATACTCAGTATCTTTACAAAGGAACTAACAACTCTTCAGCAAACCCCACACAAAAGTTCATTTTGTAAAGCTAACATACACTTTTTAATAGCATCGACTTATCCGACACTAAGACAAGTAATCAAAATAGTGCAGTTCATTAGCATGAGTAAAAGAAAAACATCATTTGCCTAAGCCTAGGCAGATATTTCTTTTATGAATAGCAATAATTTTAATTTGTAAAATAATCTTACAGAATGACTTATTTAAAAATCTTTATAGATATAACCTCTCTATATTCATTAATAAGTCCTCAAAATATTGTATTTTATCACCTTAAAGTTTAATTTACTGTTAATATTTACAAACATAGTTTTTATTTGAAATAATTTTAGCACTGAAAAACAATGTTATCTGAAAGCAATCATTTTCTAATGATGTTTGTCACTAAATGAAAGTTTGTTGATATTATACTGAGATGGTAGATTTTTATGTTTCTGATCTATGGGTACATAGCTCTTAAAATATATTTTCCATGACACCCTTTTCTTGAGATGATGCTAGGTAAATATATTAACTCCACAACTGTGCTAAGTAAGAATCTTTGAATAAACAAAACTTTACAGTGAGAAGTCTTATCACTGCATAATAATGTAAGCAGTATTTCTCCTTGAAATACTTTATAATTTTTCCGGATACTTGAATTTGATTGGTCTAAGACTGTCTATTCAGCATATCCTATTTTTGTTTCAAGTAGGCTTTCCATGTTTAGCAAATAAATCCTAGTCTCAAGCTGCCCCTTGACTATTATTTGGCTGTCTACTGTTTCTTCTCATATTGGTTTATATGATAAAAAAAAATATTGGCATAATCACAGGGAGAGATACTGATATGTAGATTTCTATGGTTTAAATGTTTCCCCTCCTAAATTCAGGAGTTGCAGAATTTATTATCGGGTTGTGTCTTTAAGAGGTGATTAGGCCATGAGGGGTGCTCCTTTGAGGATGGGATTAAGGCTCTTATAAAAGAGGCTTTATGCAGTGTTTGTCTAGCTTACTCTTCCATATTACTTTAGAAGAGGAAAGTAGCCTTCACCAGACAATAGAACCTGCTGGTTCTTTGATCTTAAAAGGGGACAGCACTGTCACACATTATGCAGTACATGTTTGTGCTTAAGCTGGTGCTAAATCATTCAAAGATGACCTACTTCCGGGTCACAAAGTTGCCTTAGGTCTTTGTTTCCTGCATTCTAGCCTAGTGCTCCTTGCCCCAGTTGTAGTTCAAGTGGGCCTAGGCATGGCTGAGGCTAGCACTTCAGAAGGCACAGTAATGAGCCTTGGTGGTAATTTGGTGCTAATGGAGTGCTAACTCCATGTGGTGCTAATTTTACAAATATGCAGAGTGCATGAGCTATGGAGGCATGGCATGGTTCACTTAAATGTCAAATAATGTCTTAGACAGTTTTGGGGTCTGGGCAGAGACCTGCCACCAGATCAGAGTTGTTGCAGAAAGCTCTCTCGAGCAATACTTAGAGTGGAGCTGTGGGATTAGGGCCACTCCTGAGACCCGAGACCTCTAGAGCCACCAACATGCAATGTCAGCTTGGGAGAGCCACAGGTATCTCACTGCAACTTGTGAGAGCTGTGTCATGGGCTGCGTCCAACAAAGGGGTGAGTTTACCTGGAGCCTTAAGGACCCTGCCCCCACTGCAACTTGTATGGAAGGTGGGACATGGAACAAAGAAGATTATTCAAGCCTCAAGATGTAATAATTTTTGCCTTGTGTTTTGGACTAACCTATGACCTGTTTCTCCTTTCTCCTTTCCTATTTCTCCCTTTTGGAATGGAAATGTCTGTTCTTGGCCTACACTGCCACTGTATTTTAGAAAGACATAACTTGTTTGATTTTACAGGCTCACAGTTGGGGGGAGATTTTTCCTCAGGATGAATTGTACCTTGAGTGGAACTCATATGATATTTAGCTAAGACGTTGGACTTAGACTTTAAAGTTGGTGTTGAAATTAGTTAAGAATTTTGGGGCTAGTTAAATGGAATAAATGTATTTTGCATGTGAGAAGGACGTGAATTTTTGGGAAGCCAGAAGATGGATTTTATTGTTCGAATGTGTCCTCTCCAAAATTTGGGTGTTGACAATTTGATAATATTAACAGGTAGGACCTTTATTATATAATTAGGCCTGCTACCCCATCAGTGGAATTTAAGGCCCTTTTAAAAGTGGCATAACAGTGTTAGGTTTACGTGCTCTTCTGACTTCTTTGGAAGCAGAAAGAAGCTCTAACCAGAAAACTGAACCTGCTGAAAACTTGATCTTAGCCTTTCCAGCCTCCAGAGTTCTGAGAACATAAATTTATGTTTACAATTACCGAGTCTCAAGTACTTTGTTATAGCAGTACAAATGGACTAAGACACAAATGAATGTGAGCATTTTCCATCAGTTTAATACATACTCATTCTGATTTCTGGAAGATAGATCCATTTTGATCATCTGTGTTATTTAGATAAAAGTAAAGTTTTATATTCAAAATTATGAGCAAGCATTTTTGAGATATTATTTCTGCATTCACTATACATTCATTTATTAAGGACCTTGACCACCCATGTATTCTTCATTAATAGATTCTTTCTTCTAGAATCACGTGTAAGCTTGACATCTTTAATATTTGTTCCTATCACAATTCCAGCAAGATATTTTCTATATGCATAAGGGAAAGGAATTACCAGCCAAATCATTGAATTTATCTATAACATGTGCAATACCATTCACTAAAATTCACACATTATCTACATCCACTGAATAACTTGTAGGGGTTTTCTGACAGAAGAAAATCATTTCTGTTTGCTAAATTCCTTGATTTTTTTTGAACTTGACACAAATAATAAAGAAATATTTTTTGTGAGGAATACAGAATTGAAATGATAGTATTTCTTCAGTATTTTCTTTTTTCAGTCTCTCCTTAAACTCTCATTTTCAAGCTTGAAATACTTCATTTTAGTGAGGTTGTTGTAGGATTAAATTAGATAATATATGTAAAGAACTTAATGCAGTTTGTGTCACAATAATTAATATTAGCTCTTTGTGAAATGATGTAAATAATGACATCAGGCACACAATAATGATGATGATAATGAAGGCTATAACAATATCAATCGTAACTAAATTGCTGAATCATCGAGTTTCCAAGATACACGTTCAAATTCTAGCCATGGAGTAGAGATGCTCCATGTTGCTCATTCAGTTGTTCCGTCATAAGTGCTAGCTTTTGTTCCATCCACACATTGTCATCTCTCAGCCAATTTGTGCATTGCACCATGGGTACAACTGTGCGCTCATCTGGCCCAAAGTTTCCTGACTGCCGATATTTAATGGTTGCCACAGTTACCTGAATAGTATTGTTGAATGGCTGCTTTTGCTTTATGTTTGCCTTTTTTTTCCTGGTGAATATTTGTCAGGATTGTTTATTTCTCATGAAGTAACCAAGATCAAATTATATACATTTGAAAAAAGTATATGTATATATATATATGTTTACAAGGATAGAGAAAAATAAGTTGAAAGCTTTCATTGATACATTAAAATAATTTTGTCTAATTAGGCCCCCACTATTTCTCTTTGTTTTTGTTGCAGTTGTTTTTGGGTTCTTGGTCATAAATTCTTTGCCTAAGCCAATGGCTAGAAGAGTTTTTCTGATGTTACCTTCTAGAATTTTTATGGTTTCAGGTCTTAGATTTAAGTCTTTGATCCATTTTGAGTTGACTTATTTTATAAGGTTAGAGATAAGGATCCAGTATCACTCTGCTACATACAGCTTGCCAATTATTCCAGTACAATTTGCTTAATAGGGTGTCTGTAGGGGTTCTGCCAGTTGCTAAGTATGTCTATGCTAATTATGCATTCTGGCACTGGGTAAATGACCACAGGATGAGTCTGGGGACCAACTGGACCCACTGTAAGTCAGACCTGAGATAAAACTCCATTAATTACCTGTCCTCCATAAGCCCCTACTTTAAGTGGAGGACCACAGTGACATTTTGGATCCCCTGGAAACAACGTAAGCTGAGAGCCGGTGTCCAGTAGTCCCTGATATGTCTGATTCATTTCCCTTTCCTCAGTGCACAGTTACCCTGGTAAAAGGCCAGAGGTCTCCTTGCAGAAGGTTGGGAGGAAGATTCACTGCATAAATTGTTGGTAATGTAGTGGAGTCCTTCCTCAAGGGACCTGGCCTCCCCTTCATTCAAGGGGTTCTGGGTCTGTAAACTGGCTTGAGTATGGAAATTGATCGAGAGGCTGTGATTTTCTGTTTTTATAATTCAAATTAGTCTTTTGTCCATTTGACCTAGAAGTTTTCTGTTTGTATAAATTAAGTAGCAGTCCAGAAGGCTTCCTATTAATTTCACTTATAGGAGCACTGTGATTAATTAGCCAATGCCACAGCTCTACACGAGTGAGACAATTCTGATTGCCACTTTGCCTCTGCTGTCCATTATGGTAGTTACACCCACCTTGCCTTTGATGGCTGAGTGCTACCACTTGGCCCTCGCCACCTCGGGATCCAATTATTCCGTTGTAATTAAATTTTGTAATTGACTGACTATGGCTCCCACCGTTAGATCTGACATACAGAGAAGAGCAATTACAGGGCTCTTCAAAGACGCAAGTGCTGTCCTCACAAATCTATTTTGCAAGGCATTGGTAAAGGGTATATCTTCTGGACCCTCCAAGCTGGGATGAGTAGGTCTAAAATTACTACTCCACTCCACCATCCCAATCTCCTTAAGCCTTTGGATCCCTTTCTCTACATTAAACCTAGGGAGATCAGGCATTTCCAGCTCACTCACATGGGCCATCTTTTAATCTGTATTTCAGCTAACCAAGCAAATAAACTATTAGAACCTTTGTTAACTCCCCAAGCTACAACATCAAAGGCAGAGTCCCTACTTAGTGGGCCCAAATAAATAAATTCAGCCTGATCCAACTCTATGTTCCTTCTACCATCATCCCACGCCCTTAATATCCATTCTCATGCCTGTTCTCCAGATTTCTGTTTATATAAATTAGAAAACTCAAGCAGGTCTTTTCAAGTGTAGTGCACCTCCTCATGGGTCACAATCTTAACCCCACCTCTAGTGACCCACCAGGACTTTAGTCTAGTTATAGGTTTAGAAGCAAACAGGGGTGTTGGGGGTGGCTCCTAAGGAGAATCAACATTATCTTGCCTGGCAACTGTCTCAGGGGAGGTCATCACTGTTGCCTCAGGCAGTGAAGGGTTTATCTCCTCAGACAAAGGTGGAAAGGTTTATGGTAGCAGGGGTTGAGGAGAGGATGGGGAAGCTGTTTCTTCTGGCAAAAAAGGTTCATCAGAGTTTACAAACTCAGTGTCCCCAGCTTCATTAGGGTCCTCCCACACATCACCATACCAAGTTGCAGGGTCCCATTCTTTTCCAATCAATGCCCTCACTTTATCAGTGGACACCTGGTGAGGCTGTGTAGGCACCTTTTGTTGCAGGTCAGACACTTGCATGATAATAGCTTGTGTCTGTTTTTTCCACAGTTTCAGTTATTTCTCTACAAGAGATAAGGCTCTCACTCAGGACAATCTTAGCAGACTTGCGGCTCTGTGTCTGCTTCTGAAGCCCAGATATAGAATCCCTGAGTTTATCATTTTCTTTCATCACTTTGTCCACTGAACTTAGGAGCAGTCAACCATCTTCATTATGTTCCTTGGTTCTCCATATATGGTCAAAGGTATTATGTATAGAGTCACTAAACTCCTTGCCTCTCATGGGCAATGAATCAGGAGTGTCAAATGCATTTATTTTGCCTAACTCTCTAAACAGTTCATGCAAAGGACTATCAGTGTTCTCCATACTATTAGAAGTAGAGTTCTTAGCATTTGGGGGCCTAATCATATTAAGCAGCCAACTCCAGAAACCCCAAAACCAGTGAAAGAACTCCATCCTTAATATTCTGTTCCTCTAGAACCCCTCCTGGTACCAAAATCTGTATTAGTCAAGGTTCTCTAGAGGGACAGAACTAATGGAATAGATATATAAATAAAGGGGAGTTTATTAAGTATTAACTCACACAATCACAAGGTCCCACAATAGGCCATCTGCAGGCTGAGGAGCAAGGAGAGCCAGTCCAAGTTCCAAAACTGAAGAACGTGGAGTCCAATGTTCAAGGGCAGAAAACATCCAGCATGGGAGAAAGATATAGGCTGGGAGGCTAGGCCAATCTCTCTTTTCATATTTTTTTTTACCTGCTCATTTATTAGCTGAGTTGGCAGCTGATTAGATTCTGACCACCCATATTAAGGGTGGGTCTGCCTTTCCCAGCCCACTGGCTCAAATGTTAATCTCCTTCAGCAAAACCCTCACAGGCACACCCAGGATCAATACTTTGTATTCTTCAATCCAATCAAGTTGACACTTGGTATTAACCATCACAGTGTCCTTCACTGCACTTGATGTTTTTGTTAAGTTTCTGCACAGCAAAATAATAATAATAATAATCAGCAAAGTAAACAGAGAACCCCAAAAGTGGGAGAAAATACTCACAAATAATGCATCCAACAAAGAACTAATATCCAGAATCTATAAGGAACTCAATCAAATCAGAAAAAACAAAACAAATTATCCCATAAAAAAGTGGGCTAAGGACATGAATAGACAATTCTCAAAAGAAGATATACAAGTGGCCAACAAACATATGAAAAAATATTAAATATCATAATGATCAGGGAAATGCAAGTCAAAACCACTGTGCAATACCGCCTTAGTCTTGCAAGAAGGGCCATAATTAACAAATCAAAAAATATTAGATGTTGGCATGGGTGAGGTAAAAACAGAACACTTTTTTTTTTAATACTTTAAGTTCTAGGGTACATGTGCACAACGTGCAGGTTTTTTACATATGTATACATGTGCCATGTTGGTGTGCTGCACCCATTAACTCGCCATTTACATTAGGTATATCTCCTAATGCTATCCCTCCCCCGCCCACCCCACTGCTCATGAAAATCTAAACTAATACAACCACTATTGAAAACAGTATGGAGTTTCCTTATAGTACTAAAAGTAGTGCTACCATTGATCCAGAAATCCCACTACTGGGTATCTACCCAGAGGAAAATAAGTCATTATATAAAAAAACACTGGCATGTACATATTTATTGCAGCAAAATTTGCATTGCAAAAAGATGGAACCAGCCTAAATGCCCATCAATCAATGAATGGATAAAGAAAATGTGGTGTCTATACATAACATGGAATATCACTCAGCCATCAAAAGAAATGAAATAATGGCATTCACAGCAACTTGGATGGAGTTGGAGACCATTGTCCTAAATGAAGTAACTCAGGAGTGGACAGCCAAACATCATATGTTCTCACATATAAGTGGGATCTAATCTTTGAAGATGCAAAGGTGTAAGAATGATATAACAGTCTCTAGGGACTCAGGGAAAAAGGTGGGAGGGGGTGAGAGATTAAAGACTATACATTGGGTACAGTGTACACTGTTCGGGTGATGGGTGCACCAAAATCTCAGAAATCACCATTAAAGAACTTATTCATGCAACCAAACACCACCTGTTTCCCCAAAACTATTGAAATAGTAAATAAATAAATAAAAATAAATAAAATATAAAAAAAGAAATAATTTTTTCATTAGTGAGTTAAGGCAGCAGATTTACTTGATTCAAGATGCAAAATGCTAAATATAAAATGATGATAGAATTTCTTCTGTACTTGTTTGAATTTCTGTATAAATAGCACACTGGAGAGTCAATGAATAAAATGTGCATAACATGTATGATGTCAAACAGACTGGCATTCTATTCCTTGTTTTGCATCTCTTGGACAAGTAGTTTTCTAAGGTATAGCTGCTTATCTGTAAAATGTAGAGGATATCTATCTCAAAAAGGTTTCTGAGAGGTTTAGAGAGAATGTAAAGTACAGCTACCTGTATAAAATTCTATAATTTTTTGTTCACATATTATCACTTTGGGTGTATCCTAAATGTAATAGTTTGTTTTCACATTGCTATAAGGAAATACCTGAGACTGGGTAATTTATAAAGAAAGAGGTTTAATTGACTCACTGTTCTACATGGCTGGAGAGGCATCAGGAAACTTAGAATCATGGCATAAGGCACCACTTTGCAAGGCAGCAGGAAAGACAATGGGTGCAAACAGGGGCAATCCCAGACACTTATAACACTATCAGATATGGTGAGACTCACTCATTATCATGAGAACAGCAAGGGAGAAACCACCTCTATGATTCAGTTACCTCCATGTGGTGCCACTCTTGACAAATGGAGATTATGGGGATTACAATTCAAGGTGAGATTTGGATGGGGATACAGAGCCAAACCATATCATTCTGACCCTGGCCCCTCCCAAAATCTTATGTCCTCACATTTCAAAACAAAATCATGCCTTTCCAACAGTCCCTCAAAGTCTTAAACTTATTCTAACATTAACTCAAAAGTCCAAGTCCAAAGTACCATATGAGACAAGGCAAGTCCCTTCTGCCTATGAGCTTGTAAAATCAAACACAAGTTAGTTACTTCCTATATACAATGAGGGTACAAGCATTGGGTAAATACACCTGTCCCTAATGGGAGAAGTTGGCCAAAACGAAGGGGCTACAGGCCCCATGTAAGTCCGAAATCCAATAGGGTAATTATTAAACTTTAAAGTTCCAAAATTATCTCCTTTGATTCTGTGTCTCACATCCAGATCATGCTGATGCAAGAAGTGGGCTCCCATGGCCTTGGGCAGCTTCACTCTTGTGACTTTACAGGGTACAGCTGCACTCCTAACTGCTTTCATAGCTGACATTGAGTGTCTGCCACTTTTCTCGGCACATAAGGCAAGCTGTGGGTGGATCTACTATTCTGGGGTCTGAAGGATGGTGGCCCTTTTCTCACAGCTCCACTAGGCAGTGCCCCAGTGGGAACTGTGTGGGGGCGCTAGCCCCACATTTTTCTTCTACATTGCCCTAACAGAGGTTCTCCATGAGAGCTTCACCCTTGCATCAGACTTCTGCCTGGAAATCCAGGCATTTCCATACATCCTCTGAAATCTAGGTGAAGGTTCTCAAACCTTCACCTCAGTTTTTGTCTTCTGCACACCTGTAGGACCAACATTAGATGGAAACTGCCAAAGCTTGGGGCTTTCACCCTCTGAAGCAATGGCCTGAGCTGTACCATGGCCCCCTTTAGCCATGGCTGGAGTGGCTGAGACGCAGAGCACCAAGTCCTGAGGCTGCAGACAGTAGGGAGGCCCTAGACTCGGCCCAGGAGACAATTTTTCTCTCCTAGGCTTCCAGGCCTTTGATGGGAGGGACTGCCGCTAAGGTCTCTGACATGCCCTGGAGACATTTTCCCAATTTTTTTGGCAATCACATTTGGCTCCCAGTTACTTATGAAAATTTCTGCAGAAGGCTTAAATTTCTCCCCAGAAAATGAGTTTTTCCTTTCTATTGCATCATCAGGCTGCAAATTTTCCAAACTTTTATGCTCTGTCACCTTTTGAATGCTTTAATGCTTAGAAATTTCTTCCACCAGATACACTAAATTACTTTCTCAAGTTCAAAGTTCCACAGATCTCTAGGACAGAGGCAAAAAGCCACCAGTCTCTTTACTAAAGCATAGCAAGAGTGACCTTTACTCCAGTTCCCAACAAGTTTCTCATCTCCATCTGAGACCAGCTCAGCCTGGACTACATTGTCCATATCACTATCAGCATTTTGGTCAAAGCCATTCAACATGTCTCTAGAAAGTTCCAAACTTTCCCACATATTCCTGTCTTCTTCTGAGTCTTCCAAACTGTTCCAACCTCTGCCCATTACTCAGTTCCAAAGTCACTTCTGCATTCTCAGGTATCTTATAGCAATGCCCCACCCTTAGTACCAATTTAATGTAGTAGTCTGTTCCCACATTGCTATAAGGAAGTACTCAAGACTGGGTAATTTATAAAGAAAGGAGGTTTAACTGACTCACAGTTCCACATGGCTGGGGAGGCCTCAAGAAACTTACAATCATGGTGGAAGACACCTCTTCACAAGGTGGCAAGATAGAGAATTAGTGCAAGCAGGGGAAATGCCAGACTCTTAAAAAACCATCAGATCTCGTGAGACTCACTCATCATCATGAGAACTGCATGGGGGAATCACTGCCATGAACCAATTACCTCCACCTGGTCCAACCCTTGACACGTGGGTATTAGGGGGATTACAATTCAAGGTGAGATTTTGGTGAGGACACAGAGCCCAACTTTATCACTAATCATAACATTTAAAAAATTTTTAGATTTTATCATATTATGATTTTTCCTGCTGTCAAGTTGTGTTCTTATTTTGTTGTATATCTCTCTTAGCATTTGAGGTATTGCTCCTCACAAGAGGGCATAGCTGCAGGGGTCTGCCTGCAGACCCTGACCCAAATGACGGATGAATAAAATGTACAGTGACACACAGATATTCTGTTTTGCCTGTCCTGCTGAGTGTCCCACCACCTATACACCAAGAGAGGTTTGTCACTGTGGCCGGCCCTGAGCAGTTTGCACTCCAGGCTTTTATTTAGTATACAATTAACAACAGAAGCGCTGAGTCAACACACGTGTGGATAATTAACATGGTTAAGAGAGTAGTTCTACGAATGATTAAAGCTCAGGTACCTGGGTTTAAAGTAAATGCCATTAGGGGGCAATATCCCTGGTCAACCTTCCCCCAACAACCGCCCGCCCCAGGGCCATCTGGCTCAAAGGTTAGTTAATGGAGGTAGGGTAAACAGACTTAACTGGGGAAGCCTCTATTGTCCCTAGTATTTACTCTATGACCTAATGCTCTAAGGTAAGAACCGGCTGCCTTTAACCTGTTCAATTATTACAAGCTATGTAACCTTTCAACCTTCCAAAAAGGTTTGTGACTATTCCCTACAACTTTAGCTAATATTTCCCTTTAATATTTCTGCCACCATCCTGAGTGAATCCCAACAGTGTTAGATTTACTTATATATTTTAGAGTATTGGTGTGCCAACTTACCCTGGGTGGGATAATTTTTTGCTTATTTTCTCTCTTTTTCTCTCTCACTCTACTTACTGACCTGGAAGTTTTCCAACTGCATTAATCTGACCCCAGGGAGGCTAGAATAGAATTGGATATGTTATTAGTATTCTGAGATTCCTGTAGTTTAGTGATATTGGGGTTTTCATATAACTGGCTGTTGGGCCATTGAGGAACGTGACTCAATCTTTGACATGATGATGCATCTGTATCTTTATTTAAAATACCCTAAATAGGTGAGCTTTTTATTTTATATTTTTTATTTATGCCAAAGATAATGGTTTCTATTTCTTTATAAAGATGATTGCCAAAAGACATTTGGTTGCACCCATGCAATGTTGGCCTGAGTAGTATTTTAAATATAAATTCGATGTCAGCATTTTAAGAGTAGAATATTGCACATAAAAGTCTTGACTATGTGGAAAAATTAGAATATCTGTAAGCCACACACCTGCATTATTTTATTACCAACAATCTGTGGGGCCTAATAGCTGTGCCTTTTAGGCTTAGTATATATGCTGTAATCTTTCCATTGTCTTCATTACTCTATGTTTTTTCCTCAAAATCAGAGTTTGACTCATTTTAATTATCTATAATATTACTGCAGCCTCTTTGCACATTTTGAGAATATGCTTCAGTACATATATATACACATATATATATACACACACATATATATACATATATATACACACACATATATACATATATATACACACATATATATATTCTAAAAGAAAAAGCAAAAATTTTTGTTCTAAATGATTCATCTTTAAGAATAAGAAATAAACTTTTCCTATTCTATTACACTGTATATTACCTTTAAACTTAGCCACCATTAATCGGTCAACAACTATCTGTAACCTTGGGTATGCCACTAATATATTTGGAATTTAGTTTATTTTCCTTAAAAAAGTGAGAGAATAGTTGACCTATCTACTCTACAGTGTTGTTATGATAAAACAACCATAGGAAACTGAAGAAAGACATAAAAGATTAATGCTGTATGAATGCTGCCATATATAAGATAGTGCCAATTTAACAGATGACTACTGAGGGGGCAGAAGAAGAAGAAAGAATGGGGAGGCTTCATGAATCATTCCTCCCCTCACAACAAGGACATCAATTTAACAATTTAACAACTATCTACAAAAGAAAAGCACCTTCATAAGAACCAAAAAATCGGGTTAGCACTCACAATACCTGGTTTTAACTTTGTATTGCAAAAAGAGAAATTGAAGAGGTAGAAAACAAAACAATCTTGAATTACCAATGCCAACTCTCCCCCATCCCTGGCAGCAGTTGCTTGGTGCTGAGAGCATCTCTCTTTGAGGAAGTGGGAAATGAAGAGCACAACAATTGTGAGGCATTGAACTCAGTGCTGTTCTGCTACAGCAGAAAGAAAAGCTGGACCAAACGCAGCTGATGCGTCCCCACAGAGGCAGCATTTAAACCAGCCACAGCAAGCAGGAAATTACTGATGCCAGTGGTAGAAACTTGAGTTTCTGCAAACCTTTCCATCACAGGTTAAACTGCTCTGGGGCTCTCAACTAAGTTGAAAGGCAGTCTAGGCCACAAGGACTACAACTTTTAAGCACTTCCTTGTGCTGAACTGGGCCCAGAACCAGCAGACTATGGAGGTAAGTGACCTACTGAGACACCAGCTGGGTAACAAAGAAATTGCTGGCATTATCCCTCCCCTAACTCCAGGCTGCACAGCTCACAGCTCTAAAAGAGCTCCCATTTTATCACTTACAAAAAGGAGAAGAAAGAGTGGGGAAGACTTTGTCTTGCATGTTGGATACCAGTTCAGCCACAGCAGGATAGGACACTGATCAGAGTTGTGAGGCAATAATTCCAAGCCCTAGCTTTCAGACGATATTTTTAAACATGTCCTGGGCCAGAAAGGAACCTACTGCTTTGAAGGGAATAATCCAGTCCTGATAGGATTTATCACCTGCTAAATGAAGAGCCATAGGTTCCGAATAACCAGCAGCAATACCCAGGTACTATGTCAAGGGCCTTGGGTGAGACTCTGAGATGTGCTGGCTTCAGGTGAGACTCAGCACATTGCCAGCTGTAGTGACTATGGGGCAATACTCCTTCTGCTTGAGAAAAGCAATGGAAAAGTAAAGGGGACTTTGTCTTGCATCTTAGCTACCAGCTTGGCCACAGTGGGGTAGAGCACCGAGCAGGATCTTGGGGATTCTGACTCCAGGACTTGGCATTTACAGCATTTCTGGAACTTCCTTGGGTGAGAGAGGAGACCACTGCCGTGAAGGGTGAGTCCCAGACCAGAAAGCATTCTCTAAAAGGTGACCGAGGAGGCTTTGGACCTTAAGGGAACAGCAGTGGTAGTCTGGCAGTAACTCTCCATTGGGCATGTGGTTGCAGTGGCCACAGGGTGAGGCACCTCTGACTTTGGAAAAAGTAGGGAAGATTGTGAACTGTATCTTGTGGTTTGAATGCCAGCTCAGCCACAATAAAATAGAACACCAGATAGACATCTGAGGCTTTTCACTCTAGTTTTGGCTCCTGGATAGCACCTCTGGACCCACCCAGGACATAAAGGAAACACACTTTATGGGAAGGACAGAGGCCTGGCTTTCTTTGCCACCTGCTGATTGTAGGTCCCCTTTAGAAACCATGGGTAGTAGTCCTTGGGCATCCGTGTGCAGTAGTGGTTACAGCAGGCCTTGGCTGAGGTACTGTGCTGGCCACAGGTATGACCCATCAAAGTTATAATGATGATGGCCACAAAGGAGCCTCTGTCACCCCAAGATTCAGCTGGAACCGAACACACACACACAAACAGACGGGGAGAGAGAGAGAGAGAGAGAGAGAGGAGAGAGAGGAGAGAGAGGAGAGAGAGGAGAGAGAGGAGAGAGAGGAGAGAGAGAGGGGGGAGAGAGAGAGAGAGAGAGAAAGAGAGAGAGAGAGAGAGAGAGAGAGACTCCATTTGTCTTGGAGAAAAGGAAAGAGAACAATAGTCTATTAATCCAGAGAATTCTGAATCTTGGCCAAGATCATCAAGGATCAAGGCAGTACTTATATGAGTCTGCAAGAGCCACAGCATTATTGGTCCTGGTGTGGCCCCTAAATCAGATACAGCTTAGATCTGTACAACACCCAAGTCCTTTCAAATATCTGGAAAGCCTTCCCAAGAAGAACAAATATAAACAGTACAAGACTTAAGACTATAACAAATGTTAATTCTTCATGCCCAAACACAGATAAACATCTACAAGTATAAAGACATTACAAAAAAACATGACCTCACCAAATGAACTAAGTAAGCCACTAGGGAACAATCCTGGATAAAAAGAGATATTTGACCTTTCAGACAGAGTATTCAAAATAGCTGTGTTGAGGAAACTCAAAGAAATTGAAGATAACACAGGGGAAAAAAATCAAGCAGAAATCTGCAGCTGAAAAAAATGCAACTGGCATAGAGAAGAATGCACCAAAGTATTTTAAAAGCAGAATTAATCACAGAGAAAAAAGAACTAGTGAGCTTGAAGACAGGCTATTTGAAAATACAAAGTGAGAGAATTCAAAAGTAAAAACAATGAAGCACACATACAGGATCTAGAAAATAGTCTCAAAAAGGCAAATCTAAGAGTTATTGGCCTTGAAGAAGAGGTAGAGAGATAGGAGTAGAATGTTTATTCCAAGGTATCATAACAGAAAACGTCTCAAAGCTAGAAAAAGATATCAATATCCAAGTACATGAAGGTTATGGAACATCTAGCAGATTTAACCCAAAGAAGACTATTTCAAGGCATTTAATAATCAAATTCCCAAAGAATAAAGAAAGTATCCTAAAAGGAACAGCAATAAAAAAGAAACAAGCATGCAATGAAACTCTAATATGTCCGGCAGCAGACTTTTCAGTGGAAACTTTAAAAATCAGGAGAGAGTGGCATGACATATTTAAAGTGCTGAAAGAAAAGCACTTTTACCCTAGAAGAGTATATCTGTAAAAAATCGTCTTCAAACATAAAAGAAAAATAAAGACTTTTCCAAACAAACAAAAGCTGAGGAATTTCATCAACACAAGACCTATTCTACAAGAAATGCTAAAGGGAGTTCTTCAATGTTGGGGTGACCAGATCCAACACCAGGTCGTGGGGTCAACAAAGTCTGGTGGAGTCAAAGGATTGAGAAAAGACAGTTTGAGAGAGAGAAGTGGTACCAGGGGGCCATCGCCATCATGGAGGCTGCAAAGGCCCAGCTCAGGGAGCCCACACTATTTATTGGTAATCCAACAAAGAAAGAGGTGGTTGGAGTTCGAAAGGGCAGCTGCATGATCTACAGCTGTGATGGTTTAGCATTTATATGGAACATGTTCTGCTACTTGAGAAAATGGGAATAGGAGCCTAAGAGGGCTAGAAGCAAGGAGCTAGCAAGTCTAGACACATTCCAGAGGACATTATGTCATTCATGCAAGCCCCGCCTCAGCTTTCTTCCCAACCCTCAGCTTTTTTCCCAACATGCCCCCCTTCTCTTTTTTGTAAAAGAGAAGGTATCATTATTATTATCATTATTACTAGCTATCATTATTGCTAGAGTCACTCTGGTTTGAATGCTTCCAACATATCTCCCCTTTCCCTTTTACAAGAGGACCCTTAATCCTAGAGGTTGCAGAAGGATGAAGGTCTATCTTCTGTAACTTCTTCATGCTGAGTAGGGATGATGATACTCCTGCCTAACTATTAGGGTCTCTTTTATACAGCGTAGAGAGGAACTGAGTCAGAAAGCATTGGTCCATTAAGCATCATGACTCTGGTCGGTCTTCGTTCCATCTTCGCATTCAGATTCAACTGGCTCATGGCTCATACTAGGGGATCCCAGTCCATGGTTGGGATCCATGGGTCCCTCCAGTCTCCCATTCCATGGTTGTACACATCTAGAGGGCATCCACATGGTTAGTTCATCTCCTGCAAAAACACAAGCATACCCTCACCCCCACATTAGTAAATCTACTGAAACAGAAGCAAAAACTTTTGTGGCTGTAGCCGGGAGGCCACTGATAATGAGAAACAGTCCCCTTCTAACGAAGGCACAGGGAAGGCAAATTGAGGCTTTTCAAACCTTCAATTTGCACTGTACAGGTGGGTCCACTAGATGCTGTGGCTCATGATAGATCTTCAGATATTTGGTGGGCACCCACACAGGCACCTGATTGTCACCTGGAGAGACACAAGCAAATCCTCTTCCCCATATACTTTTCTTTTTCCCAGCTCTTTGTACGTGCATCCCTCCAACATATATCTTGTCCAGCCTTTTTATTTTCCTTTTGCCCTTCACGTGTTATTCCACCGCAGTTATGGGTTGATCTTTTTGTAAATTTAAGAAATTTAATGTTAATAAAGCTAGATGCAGTTGCATATGCGGTGTTTTATGTTCCTGGTCTCCTGCCTTCTACTTTTGTATTTGAGTTTTTAAAGTACGATTAGCTCTTTCCACTATTGCCTGTCCTTGTGAATTATATGGAATACCCATAGTATGGGCAATATTCCGTTGTTGAAAAAATGTAGCCATGGCTTTACTACAGTATCCTGGGCTGTTACCAGTTTTGATTTTTTCTGGAATTCCCATAACAGAAAAACAAGATAAAAGACATCTTTTAACATGAGCTGTAGCCTCCCCTGTTTGACATGTGGCCCAGATAAAATGTGAATAGGTATCTACTGAAACATGAACAAAGGACAATTTTCCAAAAGCAGGAATATGTGTTACATCCATCTGCCAGATGGGATTTGGAGATAAACTTCTAGGGTTAACTCCTGTTCCTTGATGTGGCAAATGCAGAACTTGGCAGGCAGAAAAGTGTTGCACAATTTCTTTAGCTTGTTTCTACGATAGACCATATCTTTTTCTAAGGCCTGCAGCATTATGATGGGTTAAAGAATGAAATGTCTGTGCATCAGCAAAAGTTGCAGACACCAATGCATCCACCCTTTAAGTTTAGTTAAAGGGCCAGGGAGGTTAGTATGTGCTCTCATATGAGTGATATGAAAAGGTAAGTGCCTTTGTTGTACCACTTGCTGTAAAGAATGAAATAAAAAATTAAGTTGTTCATCAGTCACATTTTGAATTAAGGCACATTCAATATTTTGTGTGACTTGCCCTACATAGGCTGAATTGGAAACAATGTTTACTGGCTGTTTAAAAGTTTTTAACACTGTTATCACAGCCATAAGTTCAGCCCTTTGAGCAGAAGCAAAGTCAGTTTGCAAAACTTGTTGTTGAGGTCCTGCAAATGAGGCTTTTCCATTACGAGATCCATCAGTAAAAACAGTAATGGCCCCTTTAATAGGGGCTTTTTGAGTAATAGAAGGCAATATCCAGGATGTTAATATTTGAAACTGAAATATCTTAGATTTAGGATCATGATCATCAAGAATGCCAATAAAACCTGCCAAATTAACTTGCCATTCTTGAGACTTAACATAGGCTTGTTGAATTTATTGTTTAGTTAATGGAACTTAATCTAATTTGGATCATATCCCATTAGCTTTGTTGTGCGCAACCTTGCTTGTCCTACTAGCACAGCAATTTGATCTAAGTACAGAGTGAACATTTTGGTTGTATTGTGAGGTAGAAAGAGCCACTCAACCAGATAATCCTGTTGAACTATAACTCCTGTGGGTGAATGCTTAGTAGGAAAAACTAAAAACTGTAATGGCTGTATCAGATTAATTCATTCTACTTGTGCTTGCTGAATTTTTTCCTCAATTAATTGAAGTTCCTCCAATGCTTCTTTGGACAGGGAGCGTTTACTGTTAAGGCTAGAATCACCTCATAAAGTAGAAAAGAGGTGAGACATAGCATAGTTAGGAATCCCTAAAGTTGGACGAATCCAATTAATGTCTCCTAATAATTTGTGAAAGTCATTTAAGGTTTTTAAATTATCTCTTTGAATTTGAACCTTTTGAGGCTTAATAGCACTTTGCTCTACCTTCATTCCTAGATATTGAAAGGGTGTAGAAGTTTGGATGTTATCGGGGGCTATAATAAACCCTGCCACATTTACAGCCTTTTCTAACTATTGGTAGCACAACATCAATTCTTCCCTATTTTAGCTGCACACAAAATATCATCCATGTAATGGGTAATATAACATTTTTTAAACTGTTCTCTAACTGGCTTAATAGCTTTCCCAACATAAGTTTGATAAATAGTCGGACTATTTAGTATGCCTTGTCATAGTACTTTCCAATGGTATCTGTCCACTGGTTCTTTATTATTTATGGAGGGAACAGTAAAAGCAAGTTTTTCATAAACTTGGGCAGCTAAAGGAATGGTAAAAAAGGAATCCTTTAGATCTATCACTATGAGAGGCCAGTATTTTGGGATCATTGTTGAGGAAGGTAACCCTGGTTGTAGTGTACCCATGGGTTGAATTACAGCATTGACAGCCCTTAAATCTGTTAACATTCTCCATTTCCCTGATTTTTTCTCAATAACAAATACAGGAGAATTCCAAGGGGAGAAAGTAGGCTCTGTATGACCCTTTTACAACTGTTCCTGTACCAGCTCTTTTAAAGCCTCCAGTTTTTCCTGTTTCAGTGGCCATTGCTCCATCCAAACTGGTTTGGCAGTTAGCCAAACAAGAGGAATGGGAGCCAGAGGCTCAACAATGGCCGCTCCTAAAAATGACACCGCAATCCAGTCTGATCTATTTGTCCTTTTAATTTTAAAGGTTCTGATTGCCATTTTTATCTTTTCCTAGTCCTTTTCCCAGGCATTGTCCCATATTTCTCACCATTCGTCTACTATTACTACTATATTGATCCATAGGAATAGATATTTTAGCATCCCATTGTTGCAATAAGTCTCTACCCCATAAATTAACAGGAATAGGTATAATAATAGGCTGAATTGTCTCTTCCTGGCCATCCAACCCTTGACATGGTAAAATCAAGGAACTGTGAAAAATTTCTGAGGCAGCTCCTACTCCAGCAATACCAATGGGTGCCTTTTGCTTAGGCCAATGCTGGGGCCATTGATTTATAGCAATAATAGAGACATCAGCTCCGGTATCTACTCGTCCTTCAAAATCTTTTCCCTGAATAGTTACTGTGCAAATAGGTCTTTTGTCAGACACTTGATTAACCCAATATACAGCCTTTCTTGCTGGATTAGTACTACCAAAGCCTCCTGCTCTTTTCACTGTGCTGCTCCCTAGTTTTATGTAAGGTAACAGCAACAACTGAGCAATTCTTTCTCCTGGGGAGGCAGACCATGGAGTTGAGGAAATAATGGCTAATTGAATTTCTCTGGCATAATCAGAATCAATTATTCCCGTATGCACAGTGATACCTTTCAAATTTAGACTACCTACGGTTCCTGAGGGTAAAGGTCCTTCAACTCCTGTAGGGACCTTTTTTTGTGGCTGTCTGGGAAGCAAGGAGACGGGAATTACGCTGCAGAGGTCTGTGACAGCACTGCCTGCTGTGGCAGGGGACAATTGTTGAACATTTGTAAGGGCACTGGCTATGCTGGATATGCCTCAGTTTGTTGGGCTCGAGGCGGGCCCCTCTTCCTGTTTCCTGAGAGAGATTGTCCATCTTTGCTAATTTTAGAATGACACTGACTTGCCCAGCGATTGCCTTTTTCACAACGGGGACATACACTGGGGCTTTTCTGTTGTTTGATGGTAGTAGCTCTCGCCTTTTGGCTTCCTTTTCTGCATTCCTTTTTTGTGTGCCCAAATTGCCCACAATTGAAGCAAGAGCCTGAGAAATGGGGCATATTCTTTCTGGCTTTTAATCCAGCCATAGCCTGAGCTAAAAGAGTAGCCTTATGTAAGTTACCTCCAGTGCCATTGCAAGCCTTAATATATTCAGCTAAATGAGACTTCCCTCTCAGGGGTCTAATAGCAGTTTGACACTCTGCATTAGCATTATCATATGTGAGAAGCTGTATTACAACATCTTGAGCTGTTTTATCAGTTATGGCTTTATACACAACCTCTTGGAGCCAAGCAATAAAATCAATATATGATTCTTTAGGTCCCTGATGGACAGAACTGAAGGAAGAGTATTTTTCCCCTGTAACATTTATCCTTTCCCATGCCCATAAGCATACAGAGCACAGCTGAGCAATGACAACATCCTCCATTACTGCTTGATATTCTAGTCAACCCCAATCAGGTCCGACTCCCATTAACTGTTCAAAGTAAACAGGCACAGGTGGTTGTGCTTGTTATTTTCCCTTGCCTGAGTTTGAGCTTCATCAGCCCACCAGGTTTTAAACTGCAACTACTGAGATGGAGTGAGAACAGATTTTGTTAAAGTATCCCAATCATATGATATTAATCTATTATCAAGAGAAACATTTTTTAATAAAGTTTGCACAAAAGGAGAGTTTTACCCATATTGACTAATGGCTTGCTTGAATTCCTTTAACAGTTGAAAAGGAAAGGTAGTCCAGTTAGCTATATTCTGTCCTCCCTGCTGGATTATAGTTACAGGAAATTGCCATGCTTCAAGATCTCCATTGGCTCTAGCCTTTTGAATAGAGTTTTGTATAGCACCACCAATGGCTCCAGGTTTTAATGTTGCAACTACAGGAGCAGTAAGTTTTGTAGCTAATTCATCTTCTCACCCATTAATGGGAGAGAGAGGAGGTGGCCTTTCACTTAATTCAGCAGTAAAACATACTTTGTTCAGTTTCCCTTTCTTTTCTTTAATTTCCTCCATTTCCTGTTCCTCACATTCAGAATCTGAATTTAGTTCTTTACACCCATCCTCCTCTTCCGCATCTGAATCTGCCTCATCATCTGTTTGAAATGGCTCAAGAGCTGCTTTTATTAGCACCCACATTGACCAAAACTGAGACTGGAATTTTTGCTCCATCTTTATACACTTTTAAAAAATCTCTGACAATTCTCTCCCATTGATCCAACTCCATAGTCCCTTGTTCCAGGAACCGTGGGCAAAACTGCTTTACTGCACTAAAGAGTGATAACAAATTCTGAATACTAACTTTCACTCCCTCTCTTCGTAATAAATGCCTTAAGAAATTTAAATAAGCAGAATGTCTGCTTTCACTTTGTCCCATTATTACTCTGGTTCTTCCGAGTGCTCAGCTTTCCCACCGAGCTTCTTTTAGATGTCCTCGGGTGTCCTTTGACGATGCGTCCTCCACTTTCACATGCTCTGGCATTCCTTCACTGGGTTCTTTGTCACCCCATGTTGGGCACCAGGAATGTTGGAGTGGCCAGACCCAACACCAGGTCATGGGGGTGATGAAGTCTGATGGAGTCAAAGGATTGAGAAAAGACAGTTTGAGAGAGAGAAGTGGGACCAGGAGGCCATCGTGATTATGGAGCCTGCAAAGTCCCCGAGCTCTGGGAGCCCATGCTATTTGTTGGTAATCCAACAAAGAAACAGGTGGTGAGAATATGGAGGTTGAAAGGGCAGGTGCATGATCTACAGCTGTGATGGTTTAGCATTTATATGGAACATGTTCTGCTACTTGAGATAATGGGAATAGGAGCCTAGGAGGGCTAGAAGCAAGGAGCCAGCAAGTCTAGACACATTCCAGAGGACATTATGTCAGTCATGCAAGCCCTGCCTCAGCTTTCTTCCCAACCCTCAGCTTTTTTCCCAACACTTCGATAAGAAATAAAAACATGTTAATGAGCAATAAGTAATCAACTGCAACAACTTATCAAGACATATAGAATACAATAAGATTTAAATTTAAAAAAAGATTTAAAAATGACAGGGCAAAGTTAAGATGTAGTTTTATTATTCCTTGTTTGCTCCTCATTCAAACAGTTTTAAGTCATTATCAGCTTAAAATAATGGATTATAAGACGATATTGGCAAGCCTCATAATAACCTCAAACCAAATAACATACAATGAATACAAAAAAATAAAAAGAAAAAAAATAAATCGTATCACCAGAGAAAAGTACATTCGCTAAAGAAAGGCAGGAAGAAAAGAAAAAAGAGAAAATTACAAAACAACTAGAAAGCAGATAGCAAAATGGCAGAAGTAAGTCTTTACTTATCAATAATAATATTGAATTTAAATGGACTAAACTCTTCAATCAAAAGATATAGAATGGCTGAATGTATTAAAAAACACGACCCATTGTTCTGTTGCCTGCAAAAAACACACGCCACCTAAGAAGACACATATAAACAGAAAATAAATGAAAGCAAATCGATATTTCATGGAAATGGTAACCAAAAGAGAATGACAGTAGCTTCAATTATATCAGACAAAATAGATTTCAAGACAACTTTAAGAGGAAACAAAAAACCACTATATAATGATAAAATGGTCAATTTAGCAAGTGTATATAATAATTTTAAATATATATGCATCCAATTATGGAGCACCTAGATATATAAGCAAATATTATTAAAGCTAAAGAGAGAGGTAGGCTCCAATACAATGGTAACTGGAGGCATCAACACTTAACTTTCAGTATTGGACAGATCTTCTAGACAGAAAGTCATCAAAGAAACATCAGACTTTATCTGCACTATAGGAAAAAAATTGATCTAATAGATATGTACAGAACTTTTTATCCAAGAGCTGCAGAATACACATTCTTTTTATCAGCATATAGATTATTCTCAAGGATAGATGATATGGTAGGTCACAAAACAAGTCCTAAAACTTTTAAAAACTTGAAATAATAACAAGTATCTTCTCCGACCACAATGGAATAAAATGAGAAATCAATAAAAAGATAAATTTTGGAAATTATACAAACACATGGAAATTAAACAACATGCCCCTGAATGACTGGTGGGTTAATGAAGATATTAAGCAGAAAATTGAAAAACTACTGAAACAAATAGCAATGGAAATACAACATACCAAACTCTATGGGATACAGCAAAGCAGTAGTAAGAAGGAAGTTTGTAGCTATAAGTGCCTACATAAGAAATAAGAACAACTTAAAATAAACAATCTAATGATGCATTTTAAAGAACTAGAAAAGCAAGAGCAAATTAGTAGAAGGAAAGAAAAATAATAAAGATCAGAGCAGAAATAAATGAATTTGAAATAAAGAAAATTATATAAAAGATCAATAAAACAAAAAGTTGGTTTTCTGAAAAGTTAAATAAAACTGACAAAACTTTTATCAGACTAAGAAAAAAGAGAGGAGATTCAGATAAATAAAACTGGAGATGAAAAAGAAGACATTAAAGCTGATACTGCAAAAATACAAAGGATAATTAGTGGCTCCTATAAACAAGTATATGCCAATAAAATGGAAAATCTATTTAAAAATGAACAAATTCCTAGACAAATGCAACCTACCAAGACTGATCCAGAAAAAAATCCAAAACCTGAACAGACCAATAACAAGTAAGAAGATCAAAGCCATAATAAAAGTCTCCCAGTAAAGAAAAGCCCTGGGACCCCAATGCCTTCACTGTTGATTTCTACCAAATATTTAAAGAAGAATTAATGCCAATCTTACTCCAACTTTTCTAAATAATGGTGGAGAAGCAGGTACTTCCAAATTAATTCTATGAGGCCAATATTACTCTGATATTAAAACAGGACAAAGACACATAAAAAAAAAAACTACCAGTCAATATGTCTGATGAATATTGATGCTAAAATCCTCAACAATGTACTAGTAAACCAAATTCAACAATGCATTTCAGAGATTTTTCATCATGAAAAAGTGGGATTTATACCAGAGATGTGAGGATGGCTTAACATATGTAAATCCATTGCCATCTGCAATAACATGGATAGAACTGGAGGTCTTTGTGTAAAGTGAAATGACCCAGGCACAGAAAGAGAAACATCACGTGTTCTCACTTATTTGTGGGATCTAAAGATCACAACAATTTAACTCATTGACATAGAGAGTAGAAGGATGGTTATTAGAGGCTGGGAACATAGTGGGGGTCTTATGGGGAAGTGGGCATAATTAAGAGGTTAAAAAATAGAAAAAATGAATAAGACCTATTATTTGATTACACAATGGGCTGACTATAGTCAATAAGTTAATTTCAGATTTTTAAATAACTAAAAGTGTATAATTAGATTGTTTGTAACACAAATGATGTATGCTGGAGGGGATGGATACTCCATTTTTCCATGATGTGATTATTTCACATTCCATGCCTTTATCAAAATGTCTCATGTACCCCATAAATATATACATCTATGTACCCACAAAAATTGAAAATTAGAAAAAATTAAAAAGAAAGAAAAACAAGAAGCCACTTTTATGAGACACAGAGACAGGCCTGCATTAAAAACATTAAGATTCATTTAATAATTTTACCTCTGTCTGAATTAATGTAATTTATTATATGACTTGATAATAAATAATTTAAATGTTTGATTACTGATGGGATTTTTTTCTGTCATTTTCAAAACTAGAAAGGGATTATAACCTTTTTGTTTAAAATATTGTGAATTCCTTCTGTGTGTGTTTTTCTTTTCTTTTTTTTTTTTTTTTTGCCTCCAGAATTGCAAATTATTCAACCCCTCCAGGCCTAGAGACTGTCATATAGATTGTAAGGGTTGGTTTCGAGCAAAACATTAAATCAGACCTTCCAAATCAAGCATGGGCACACATATGCCTCAACAGCTGGCCAAAATGCTTGTGTTTTATATAGCTAATTACTACAAGCCAAGATTATGGTAGCTCAATGAATGGAATATATAGATAAATCAATTTTATATCCTTGCCTCTTGGCTTTTGATTTTTGGCTCTTATGTTGCTTAAATAGGATTTTAACGTTAATGAGCGCCTGCCCACCTCCACTGCCATCTGGCCTAGAATGTTTAATTGACTATAAGTCTTCTGAGTTTAAGTCTCTTGGTCACAGGTTCCTTCTGAGGGATATGATTGGCCTGGGGCAGGTAGCACACAACTCGCACATAGATTTGGGATAAAATAAAAGCTTGCCCATCAATACTACCTTGACAAAAAAGGAGGAATATAAACTTATACAAATAAAATGAAATAAGATCCTAAGCCCTCCAACAGAATGGAAACCCCTCTAGGCCAAAGAGAATCCCCTCCAAAAAAAAAAAAAAAGAAAAAAGAAAAAAGCTGAAAAAACTAGCTCTTGCCATGATGGAAAGCTGGGGGTCGAACCCACATCCCTATACCTTTGCTCCCTTGTAATTCAGGTACAACTTTTCAGCATTAACATTAAAATAGAGATCATAAAACTGACAGAACAGACCCTTTATGACAATAAATATCAAATTATAAACTGGATCTAAGACCATGCCAGGCAAGGATTAAGTCTCCACCCAAATATATACAGAGTCATATGTTACATTTATGTTTGTTCAATATACCTGTGTCAGGAACACTTCCATAAACATTCATAGCTCCCTTGTTTAACCAAGAGACTTCAAGTATTATTAAAAACTTGGAAAAAAGAATGCCCCAAAGATCAATTACAACCAAAATGGAAGGGTACTACGAGGATATTGTTAAGCACAACCACTGCTGTTTAACTTTAGGGAAATACTAGATGGCTACACCATTGGACCTGTTTTATATGAGTCCCTGCAGTCACCTGAGAAAGACACCACTATCTACCCTTGTGAAGCCCTGGTAGACCTAAAACTGCTGTTTTGCAAATAAACAGATAAGTAACATCTTTAATCCCTCCTGCAGGTATGCAACCTTCTTAACAACTGCCATCTCTACTTTATGCTATACCATATACAATTGGTTAAATTGGTTAATGGGTACTCAAAATCAGGTGTCAGGTGAAGTACCCTTATGCTTTGAGAGACAAGATGACAGCTACTTCTAGGCTGACATCCAGAACATAAACTCCTTCTAACAGACAAAATATAGATGGAATGTCAAAATAAATCTCTATAGTTAGGTGCTGATATGGTTTGGCTCTGTGACCCCACCCAAATCTCACCTTGAATTGTAATAATCCCCACATGTCATGGGAGTGACCCGGGAGGAGGTAATTAAATCATGGGGGCAGGTTTCTCTCAAGCTGTTCTTATTATAGTAAATAAGTCTAGAAGATCCGAGGGTTTTATAGAGGGGAGTTCCCCTGCACATGTTTTCTTGCCTGCCACCATATACGACATGACTTTGCTCCTTGTTTGCCTTTTGCCATGATTGTGAGGCCTCCCCAGCCATGTGCAACTGTGAGTCCATTAAACCTCTTTATAAATTACCCAGTCTTTGATATGTATTTATTAGCAGCATGAGAACAGACTAATATAGTAAATTGAGGCCAGGTAGTGGGGTGCTGCTGTAAAGATACCTGAAAATGTGGAAGTGACTTTGGAACTGGGTAAAAGGCAGAGCTTTGAAGAGTTTGGAGGGCTCAAAAGAAGATAGGAAAATGTTGGAAAGTTTGGAACTTCCTTGAGGCTTGTTGAATGGTTTTGACCAAAATGCTGATAGTGATGTGGACAATGAAGTCCAGGTTGAGGTGGTCTCAGATGCAGATGAGGAAATTTTTGGGAACTGAAGTAAAGGTGACTCTTGCTATGTTTTAGGAAAGAGACTGGTGGCGTTTTGCCCCTGCCCTAGTGATGTTTGGAACTTTGAACTTGAGAGAGATGATTTAGGGCATCTGGTGGAAGAAATTTCTAAGCAGCAATGTGTTCAAGAGGTGACCTGGATGTTGTTAAGAGCATTCAATTTTATGTATTCATAAAATATGATTTTGGATTAGAACTTATGTTTAAAAGGGAAGCAGAGCATAAAAGTTCAGAACATTTTTACCTCGATGATATGATATAAAAGGGAAACCCATTTTCAGAGGAGAAATTCAACCCAGCTGCAGAAATTTGCATAAGTAATGAGGAGCCAAAAGATAATTGCCAAGACAATGGGGAAAATGTCTCCAGGGCATGTCAGAGGTCTTCACAGTGGCCTGTTGCATCACAGACCTAGAGGCCTAGGAGGAAAAAATGGTTTTGTGGGCCAGGCCCAGGGACTTGCTGCTTTGTGCAGTCTCAGGACTTGGTGCCCTGCGTCCTAGGTGGTTAAAAGGGGCCAATGTAGAGCCCTGGCCATTTCTTCAGAGGGTGAAATCCCCAAGGCTTGGCAGTTTCCACATGATGTTGGGCTTGTGGGTGCACAGAAGTCGAGAATTGAGGTTTTGGAACCTCTGCCTAGATTTAGAGGATGTATGAAAATGCATGGATGCATGGGCAGACGTGTGCTGCAAGGCTGGAGCCCTCATGGAGAACCTCTGCTGGGGCAGTGCAGAATGGAAATGTGGGGCTGGAGCCTCCACACAGAGTCCCCACTGGGTCACTGACTAGTGGAGCTGTAAGAAGAGGGCCACCATCCTCCAGACCCCAGAATTGTAGATCCACCAACAGATTGCCCTGTGTGCCTGGAAAAACCACAGCCACCAAATGCCAGCCCATGAAAGCAACTATAAAGACTGTACCCTGCAAAGCCCCAGTGGTGGAGCTACCCAAGGGCTTGGGAGCCCACTCCTTGCATCATTATGCCCTGGATGTGAGACATGGAGTCAAAGGAGATCATTTAGGAGCTTTAAGGTTTGACTGCCGTGCTGGATTTAGGACTTGAATGGGGCCAGTAGCCCCTTTGTTTTGGCCAATTTCTCCCATTTTTAAGGGTTATATGTACCCAATACCTGTACCCCCATTGTATCTGGAAAGTAACTAACTTGTTTTTGATTTTATAGGCTCATAAGCAGAAGGGACTTGCCTTGTCTCAGATGAGACTTTGGACTGTGGGCTTTTGAGTTAATGCTGAAATGAGCTAAGACTTTGGGGGACTGTTGGGAAGGCATGATTGGTTTTAAAATGTGAGGACATGAGATTTGGAAGGGGCTGGGGCAGAATGATATGATTTGGCTCTGTGTCCCCACCCAAATCTCACCTTGAATTGTAATAATCCCCACGTAATGAGAGGGACCCGGTGGGAGATAATTGAATCATTGGGGCGGGTTTTTCCTGTGCTGTCATCATGATAGTGAGTAAGTTTCATGAGATCTTATGGTTTTATAAAGGGGAGTTCCCCTGCACATGTTCTTTTGCCTGCCACCACGTCAGACGTGACTTTTCTCTTCATTTGCCTTCCACCATGACTGTGAGGCATGCTTAGCCATGTGGAACTGTAAGTCAATTAAACCTCTTTCCTCTATAAATTACCCAGTCTCAGGTATGTCTTCATTAGCAGCATGAGAACAGACTAATACAGGTGCCCAATCTTCTTCTTGGGAATTGTTATGGGCATGTGGGTCTCATGTTTGGCCATCCTATACTACAATTGAACTGGACGATGTACTTGGGGTTGTCCCTAACTTCCAGGACATATCCTTTATACATCTAGATTCCCTCGTCACCAACTGGGAAACAGTCAATGCTTATAGACAACAAAGCAGGCTTCTCAGTGCTTTTATCCTATGACAATATTCTCTTCTCCGGCAGCAGCTGTGGACATTGAATTTCAGGTAGAAGCCTTAGCAGAACACATTGCTGCAGCTTTCAATAAACACTAATCAGGCTATCATCACCCTTCTAACAGAAGAATAGTTCCAAATAAGACAAGTAAGTCTACAAACATGTATTACTTTAGATATTTTAACTGCAGCCCAGGGGGAATGTGTGCCTTGATTAAAACTAAATGTTGTGTTTATATTTCTGATTACTCCCATAATATATCCCAGGCTATAAGATCCCTGGAAACTCATATCTTAGTAATTGATTCCCTGTCTCAAGACCTCATAATGGCATGGTTTCATCAGCTCTCCAGCATTTGGAAAGCATTTTTTTTGCCATGCTTAGTATTATAGTATTCTTTATTATTAATAATTGTGCTATTTATTTCTGTTGTGCTTGTTGTATATGGCTACAAGATAAAATAGCTCAGTTGCTTCTTTGCTCATTTACTTACTAACCTAGTGTATTGACTTTCTAGGATCTATTGGGACATCACACATGCAAGAAACTTTATAGCTCCCTGAAGAGGCTCACTGTAAACTCTTATAGAGGACTCTGTCCCAGTGATCAATTTCCACTGTCAGAAGGAATAAGTTACAGAAGAATGAGTCTTGCCCTTCATCTCCCCTTAAGAGTAAGAATTCTTTCATAAATAGAGAGGGAAAAGTTAGGAAGCAGGAACCTAAGAAAGCCAGAGTGACACCATCTTAAAACTAGCAAGGCATATGTCTTGCCAGTCATGACCCATGGTCCTAAGATGTTTACAGCTAAGGAAGCAGCTTGGTAACGCCTGCAAGGACAAACTCTTAAAATAACCGAAAATCAAAGTGTCCCAAGACCCATAACAATATATGCTTTCAAGATCATTATAGATATGCTTTCCTGTACTCCACACAATAAATTGTCAAGGATAGTTCTCCTTAAGTCAATAAAATAATAAATGTTGTCATGCTGTCAGTCCACCCACCCAGAGGCACAGCTTAGTTTAGTTTTTACATAGACAAGACCCCTATATAAGAGAAACTTAAAACAAAGATGGTGCATTTTTCCACTTGCTTTCTGAGGATGCCTTACTCTGTAACAGAGTAATTTCTAATAAACTTGCCTTTTTCACTGAATTCTGACTCATTTTGAATTTTTTCCTGCATGAGATCCAAGAATCCTCTCTTTTCTAGTAACATTACTTTCTTTTTTTCTTTTTAAATGTACTGTTTTCTTTCTTTTAACATTTATTTTGGGTTTAAGGGTACATGTGCAGGATTGTTACATAGGTAACCTGCATGTCATGGGGTTTCGGTGTACAGATTATTTAGTCACACAGAAAAACAAAGTACTTAATAAGTATTTTTTAATCCTCTTTCTTCTCCTACCCTTCATCTTCAAGTAGGCCCCAGTGTCTGTTGTTCCCCTATTTGTGTCCATGTGTTCTTCTTGTGTAACTTCCATTTATAAGTGAGAACATAAGGTATTTGGTTTTCTGTTCCTGGTTAGTTTGCTTAGGATAATCGTCTCCAGCTCTATCCATATGGCTGCAAAGGACATGATCCAATTCTTTTTTAAGGATGCATAGTATTCCATGATGTATATTTACCACATTTTCTTTATCCAGTATAGTGTTGATGGGCATTTAGGTTGAATCCATGTCTTTGCTATTGTGAATAGTGCTGCAATAAACATGTGTGTGCATCTGTTTTATGGTACAATAAATTATATTCCTTTGGGTATATACCAAATAATAGGTTTGCTGGGTCAAATGGTAATTGTTTTAAGATATTTGAGAAACCAGCACACTGTCTTCCACAGTGGCTGAACTAATTTGCACTCTCACCAGCAATGTATAAATGTTCCCTTTTCTCCGCAGCCTGGCCAGCATCTATTGTTTTTAGACTTTTTAATCGTAGTCATGCTGACTGATGTGAAAGGTAACTCATTGTGGTTTGTGTTTTTCTAATAATTAGTGCCGTTGAACATTTTTTTATGCTTTTTGGCTGCATGTGTGTCTTCTTTTGAGAAGTGTCTGTTCATGTACTTTGCCCACTTTTTAATGTTTGTGTGTGCGCTTGTAAATTTGTTTGAGTTTCTAATAGATTGTGGATATTAAACTTTTGCCAGATGCGTAGTTTGCAAATATTTTCTCCCCTCTGAAGGATGTCTCTTTACTCTGTTGATAGTTTCTTTTGCTGTTCAAAAGCCCTTCAGTTTGTTTAGGTCCCATTTGTCTAATTGTCTATTTTTTGTTCTTGTTTCAAATACTTTTGGCATCTTTGTTATAAAATCTTTGCCAGGTCATATGTCCAGAATGGTATTTCCTAGGTTTGCTTTCAGGATTTTTATAGTTTTACATTTTAAAGTGAAGTCTTTAATCTATCTTGAGCTGGTTTTAATACAACTCAGTTGTATTAAGAGTTTCAGTTTCAATTATCTATATATGACTAACCAGTTATCCCAGCACCATTTATTGAATAGAGAGTCTTTTAGCCATTGCTTGATTTTGTCAGTTTTGTCAAAGATCAGATGGTTGTAAGTGTGCAGCATTATTTCTAAGCTCTGCATTCTGTTCCATTTGTCTGTGTGTCTGTATTTTTATGAGTGCCATGCTGTTTTGCTTACTGTAGTATTTTAATATAGTTTGAAGTCGAGTGACGTGATGCCTCCAGCTTTGTTCTTTTTGCATAGGATTGCCTTGGATATTCAGGCTCTTTTTTGGTTCTGTGTAAATTTTAGAGTACTTTATTTTTTAATTATGTGAAAAAATGCAATTGGTAGGTTGACAGGAATAGCATTTAAATTGTAAATTGCTTTGGGCAATATGGCTATTTTAACAATATTAATTCTTCCTGTCCATGAGCATGATTTTTCCATGTTTGTGTCATCTCTGATTTCTTTGAGCAGTGTTTTGTAATTTTCATTGTAGTAATACTTTACCTCCCTGTTTAGCTGTATACCTAGCTATTTTGTTCTTTTTGTGGCTATTGTGAATGAAATAAAATTATTGATTTGGCTCTGAGCTTGGAGGTTGTTGGTGTATAGGAATGCTAGTAATTTTTTGTACATTGATTTTCTTTTTCCTGAAATTTTGTTGAGGTTGTTTTTCAGATCTAGGAGCTTTAGGGCAGATACTATGGGGTTTTCTAGGTATAGAATAATGTTTTCTGAAAGCAGGGGTAGTTTGACATCCTCTCTTCCTATTTGGATGTCTTTACTTCTTTCTCTTGCCTGATTGCTCTGACCAGGATTTCCAGTGCTATGTTGAATAGGAGTGGTAAAAGGGGGCATCCTTGTCTTGCGCTGGTCTTAATGGGGACTGCTTACAACTTTTGCCTATTCAGTATGATGCTGGCTGAGAGTCTGTAATAGATGGCTCTTATTGGTTTAGGGTATGTTCCTACAATGTATAATTTATTAAGAGTTTTGAACATAAAGAGATATTGAATTTTATCATAAGCCTTTCCTCCATATGTTAAGAAAATTCTGTGGCTTCTGTTTTGAGCTCTGTTTATGAGATGAATTATGTTCTCTAATTCGCGTGTGTTGAACCAACCTTGTGTCCCAGAAATGAAGCCTATTTGATTTTAGTGAGTTAGCTTTTTGATGTGCTGCTGAATTATTAATAACATTACTTTCAATATTATTAGTTGTGTTAAGTAAAAACCAAATTCTGAAGTTAAGTCATGAGGTAAAATTTTAAATAATTATAGCATAAAGGCACAGAAATGTTGCAAAAATAATTATCAAAAAATTCTATGAAAGTATTAGTGACAAGAAAGCTATATTAATATCAAACAAAATATTCTTAGGACAAAAGACATTGTTAGCATTAAAGAACTTCCCTTAATCACACTGCAATGTTTATCTCACCAAGAAAATATTAATTCTAAATTTTAATGTACTTAATATAGTCTCAAAGTAAATAAGGTGAAAATGACAATTAATAGAGAAATAGCAAAAAAATCAGTTAGTGATTTTAATACATTTTTCTCAAAAATTCATAGAGCAAGTAGTAAAGATAAAGAAACTTTAAACAAGAATTAGAAGACTTTACATAAATAATGTCTATATAATAGTGAATTCAACAGCAGATTACATATTTTTTAAAGGACTAAAAAATAGGTAAGGAGATTATAGATTGCCTATATATAGATACTTTATTTATGACCAAAATGGCACTTAAAGCAATGGGAATAGAAGAGTCTTTTCAATGAATTGTGGTGAGAAACCTGGTTAAATATATGGAAGAAAATGAAATTGGATCTCATTACTACACCATACACAAATATCAATTTCAGTTCTAGTAATACAAAATAGTGAAAGGTAAAAATGTAAAAGCTTCGAATAAATTGAAGGAAAATATTATATTGAATTTAGAGTAGGGTAAGATTTTCTAAACAAAACATGTAAAGCATTCACCATAAAGGAAAACATGGCTGAATCTGACTGGAGAAAAATGAAGAACCTCTGTTCACCAAAAGACAGCAAAAAAGAATGAAAAGACAAGCCATGAAGTGAATGAATATATGTGAAAAAGTTACGACCAAAAAAGGACTAGTATAAAAACAGATAGGCTGGGTGTGGTGGTTTACGCCTGTAATCTCAGCACTTTGGGAGGCCGAGGCATGCGTAACTCGAGGTCAGGAGACCGAGACCATCCTGGCTAACACGGTGAAACCCCGTCTCCACTAAACATACAACAAATTAGCCGGGTGCGGTGGCGGGCGCCTGTAGCCCCAGTCTGGAGGCTGAGGCAGGAGAATGGCGTGAACCCAGGAGGCGGAGCTTACAGTGAGCTGAGATTGTGCCACTGCACTTCACCCAGACAGAGAGAAAAAGAGAGAGATCCTAGTACAAAAATAGCAAAAGACATGAAGATATACGTTATGAAAGAAAATATCCAAATAATGTGTAAAATTAAATTATAAAATGATTCTTAAATTCATTAGTAGACAAGGCACAGTAGCTCACACCTATAATCCCAGCATTTTGGGAGGCTGAGGTAAAAGGATCCCTTGAGCCCAGTAGTTTGAAACCAGCCTGGATAACATAGTGAGATCCCCCCTCTACAAAAAAAAAAAAAAAAAAAAAAAAAAAAAAAAAAATCAAAAAGAAAAATTAGATGGGTGTGGTGGAATAGCTAGGAGTTCCACCTAGCTATTCAGTCGGTTGAGGTGGAAGGGTCACTTGAGACCAAGGGGTCAAGGCTGCAGTCAGCTGTGGTTGTGCCATTGCACTCCAGCCTGGAAAACAGAGTAAAACCCTGTCTCAAATAAATAAATAAAAATAAATTTTGAAAATTCATTAGTATTCAGGGAAATGTAAATTAAAACCAAAATAAGATAGCTGTGTATACCCCCATGTTTGCTGGCTGGCAAAATCAATTTTAAAATTTCAGATCTAGGAGCTTTAGGGCAGATATTACAAAAATAATAAAAATAACACTATTATGTATTAAGAATGTAGGGAAACACAATCTCATGTAATCTGATGGTTGGACTTTAAATTTCTATGACCTCCCACCAAAAAATAATTGCTATTTTCCAGAAAATTTGAGGATATGCATATCCTAATACCAGTCAGTTTAACTGCAAGTTACACACATAGAAAAGCTCATTAACATTAATGTGAGACTACTGTTTCAAAAATATTCTTAGAAATATCATTTGTAATTATCAGAAACTGTACATTTGAAATATTAAACTATAGTGGTATTCTAAATTTTGATATATTGAGCCTAGGGAATATTATACAACAGTAAAAATGCAAAACAAAATGATAAATACAAACATAATATAGGGTGAAAAATCAAGACACAGGAGAATGTAAGCAATTCTACATTTATGTAAAGTTCAGTAACAGGTAAAACATAAAGGGTAGTATGTAGGAATGCAAATATAGTTGGTAAAATTGCAAAGAGATGTGAGAAGAAATAGTACCATAAAAGCCAGGACTCTGAGAAAAAGCCAGGTTCTCTCTGATGTTTACAGGTATTTATGAATGTATTTTAAACTCTCAATTTACATTTCAGGTCCATTTTCTCTAAGTATGTGTTATGCCACAATTTAATTTTTTCCCCATTTTCATAAAGGAAGGAGTAATTAACTTGGTCAAGTACAGAAAGAGTAGGATGAGGGCTGAGAATTGACAACTGAACTTAGTGTTAAGGAGGCAACTCGATATATGTCAGTTTGAGAATGGAAACCACTCTTTATATTTCTTTTATAATAATTTTGGTACCCACATTGGAGCTAAACAGAACTATACCAAATACCAGTCTCTGCTTTTTATCAGCTGAATGACATTAAATATTTATGCATTCTCCATCTCAGTTTATTTGCTTATAAAATAGAAGCACAATACTTGCCTGACTGTGTTATATTGAATAAACTGATGGAGTAAAAATTATTTATGTCTGACATATAGAAGGCATTCAGTAAATGTTTAACGTCCTACAATCCAGTTTGGTAAGCAAGTGATTATAAACATATGTTGATTTTTCACTTTTACTTGACAGGAAGTAAAAATTATAAATAAAAATATTTAAATTAAAATTTACATGTTCCCTAGACTGATGTTAAGTGACGCTTCAGAATGTTACTTTTTAAATTAATACTTAATATTTTTACATGTTTATGGGGTACATGTGATATTCTGTTATATGCATAGAATATGTAATGATAATTCAGAATATTTAGAATATCCTTCACGTTGAATATTTATCATTTGTGTGTTAGGAACATTTGAAGTCTTCTGTTCCAGCTGTTTTCAAATTGACAATACATTATTGTTAACTATAGTCACTCTATTCTGCTATCAAACATTATAACTTATTCTATCTAACTGTACGTTTGTATCCATTAACTAATCTCTCTTCATCCCCCCAACCCAAATACACTTTCCAGCTTCTGTTATCTATCATTCTTCTATCTTAATGAGATCAATTTTTAGAGCTCCCACATATGAATGAGAACATGTGATATTCGTAATTCTGTGACTGGCTTATTTCATAATGATTTGCAGTTACATCCATGTTGTTGCAAATTACATGCTTTCATTCTTTTTTATGAGCAAACGGTATTGCATTGTGTATACATACCACATTTTCTTTATGCATTCATCCATTGATTGATACAGGTTGATTCCATATTTTTGCTATTCTGAATAGTGCTGCAATAAATATAGGGGTGTATTATCCTTTTGATATTCTAATTTCCTTTGCTTTGGATAAATGCTCAGTAATGGGATTGCTGGGTTAGTTTTGTGAGAAATCTTCATACTTTTTTTCATAGTGGCTTTACTAACTCAATTTCCACCAACAGTCAGGCAGTCTTTTTTAACCAGATGCTTCAAAATCCTACCGCTTATGTCAACAACATCTATAAGATATGGGCGTTCTTCAGCTATTAAACTCAAGCTGTAAATCTATGAAAATAGAGTAAGGTTTGCAGAACTCTCTCATTCAGTCTAAACCTCTGTACAAAGAGATGACCAAACCCTGGCATGGCTTCTAATAGCATAAGGCCATGTCCCTAAGATCATCCCAGACCCCTACTAAAAAGAGATCTATTGTACAACATGGTTACTATAAAAACATTGTACTGTGCACTTGAACATTAATGAGAGTACATTTGAAGTGTTCTCACATGCCTGGTAAGTATGTGAGGTAATGGATATGTTAATTGGCTTGATTTAGTCATTCCACAATGTATACGTATTTCAAAACACCATGTTGTACACCATAAATATATGCAATTTGTATTCATCAATTTAAAAAAATAAAAATTGGAAAAAACAAAGCCTTCCCTAGAAAGCTCAATGCTGCAGGAGAACTGTTTGTTCTATTCCATACCTGGTGATAGGCCTCTTACCTCCCTTTCTAAGAACATTTACCAAAAAGGTCTTACAATTGTAAATCTTTACTCTGTCTCCTTGAGATGTATACAAATCTCTAAGATTCTGGAGTGTCTTTCTCAAGGATTTGAAAATCAATCATTTCAAATGTAATAATTCAGAAGGATAGGGTCTCTGTTGTCCAGTCTCTTTGCCAGGATAGAACCTTAACTTTGATTGTTGCCAGTGAGAGGTGACAACGTGCTAGCAGCCCTTGCTTGCTCTGGGCGCCTCCTCGGCCTTCGCGTCTGCTCTGGCCGCGCTGGAGGAGCCCTTCAGCCTGCCACTGAGCTGTGGGGGCCCCTCTCTGGGGCTGGACGAGGCCGGAGCCAGCTCCCTCTGCTCGCGGGGGAGGTGTGGAGGGGGAAGTGTGGAGGGGGAAGTGTCGGCTCCGCCGGGGCTGCGTGCACCACTGTTGGCGCCGCTTCTCGGTGGGCGCGGGTGGGCTCCTCAGGCCCGCACTCGGCGCCGCCGGCTGGGCATGCTGGGGCTGGCACGTGCTGGGGTTGATCGGGTAATGAGCTCCCTCTGGGCTGCCGGAGTGCCAGTGGCGAGTGCCAGTGAGAGGTGAAGCCGGCTGGGCTTCCAAGATGGGTAGGGACTTGGAGAACTTTTCTGTCTAGCTAAAGGTTTGTAAACGCACCAATCAGCACTCTGTCAAAACGGACCAATCAGCTCTCTGTAAAATGGACCAATCAGCAGGATGTGGGTGGGGCCAGATAAGGGAATAAAAGCAGGCCACCCAGCCGGCAGTGGCAACCCGCTGGCATTCGTTCCACTCTGTGGAGCTTTTGTTCTTTTGCCCTTGCCAGTAAATCTTATTGCTGCTCACTCTTAGGGACTGTGCTGCCTTTATGAGCTGTAACACTCACGGTGAAGGTCTGTAGCTTTGCTCCTGAGGCTAGCAAGACCACAAACCCACCAGAAGAAAGGAACAACTCCAGACGCCCAGCCTTTAAGACCTGTAACAGCAGGGTCCACAGCTTCATTCTTGAAGTCAGCCAGACCAAGAACCCACCAATTCCGGACACACCAGCAAGCAGACACAGCTGGCCTCATCATACTTACACTGAGTAACCCTTTCTAATTTTTTACTTAATCCCCCATTCACTCTCCCTCCCTTCTCTCTCATTCTTGTTTTAAACTCTCCAGTCACCTGCGAACAAATCTGAGTGGAGCTCAGCTCTTTCTTTACTGTCAGTAGTTGCTAAGTAAAATCTGTTTGTACTATCTTTGAAAAAACATGAAAATTTCCCAAACATCTATTGTCTTAGGAGAAATAGTCCTAGCAGCAACAAGCAGCAAACAAGCACATATTTCATTACATATTGCAGTATTTGCAATAGCAGCAAACAATCAGGTGTTTCATTCAGTAATAATACTGTGAAATAAAACATTCCTTAAGTACCTGGCACTTAATGAATATGTTGTGGATGTGGAGATGAAGGAAGAACATAGGAGTAGCACCCAGCAACAGAAGGAAAGTGAGAAAAGCCAAAAGGAAAAGTAGTAGAAATCTTACCAAGTTACTTCGGATAAGGCAAAATGTCTAAAGGCATAACTCTCTGCTTTGGCTCTAAGCGTAAGTGAAATACGAATGGAAATTCAAGAGAAATGCTTCTCCAAAAGCAAAATGTAACAGAAAACAAACTCACAGTTGAAAATAACAAAGTCAGTAATAATTATGTATGTGGAGAGGTTTTCCATTTTTGTGTAGATAAAAAACTGAAAGTGTCAGTTAAAGAAAAGTTTGAAGGTAGAACTGAAAAAAATTATGTGGTCATATGGCCATAAGATAGGTTAAACTTGCATCTTTTTTCTCATAATAGAGCAAAAAGATGTCCTTCGAAATTTAATATGCATGCAGAACACATAAATGAAATTTTTATTTTACAAATAGAGTAATAAACTTCTGCAGTATACTACCACAAAAAGAGAACAAGGGAAAATATTACATTCAAGAAAGTTTTAGATGAATCAGTAGATGCCAGAAACATAACTTTCTATAGGAAACTTTTTGAGGTTGACAACCATATTTATTGCCCAGTGACCAAATCAATGGATATTAAGCTTGTAAGATTATTTGTTTGATTAGTATGTCATGGTTTACATACAGACACACTGTAGTTGTCCTTACCCACTGTGTTAGCTTGTTAGGGCGCCTATAACAAACTACCACAGATTGGGTGACTTAAACAACAGAAATGAACTGAAAAGTCTCACAATTTTGGAGGCTAAAAGTCCAAAATCAAAGCAGGTGAAGGTTGGTTCCTTCTGAGGGATGTAAAGGAAGGAAGCCTTTCTCTTGATGGCTTTCTCTTTCGCTTTCAGATCGGTATCATATCTATGTCTCTTCACATGTTCTTCCTTCTATGCGGGTTTCTGTGTTCAAATTTCTTCTTATTTTAAGCCTACAAGTCATATTGAATTAGGTCCCACCCTAGCGACTTTATTTGAACTTGATTACTCTTTGAAGACCCAATTTTCAAATAAAGTCGCATCTTGAGGTACTGGGGGATAGGATTTCAACAAATAAGTTTGAGGGGAACACAATTGAATCTGTAACATACACTAATATAGTAACTGATATAATACAATAATCCTTTTGACTATTTTTCCTTAAAATGGGAAAGCTTCATTTTACAATTAAAACACTGAAAGTGCTATTTCTTGCTGTTTTCAAAGTAGCATTTTCTTTATTTTTTTGTGTGTTCGTGTGTGTGTGTGTGTGCGCGCGCGCAAAGGGGTCGGAGAACAGAATCACTTTACCGCACTGCATTTGTGAATGGCTTCATTGCTTCTTATTATCATTTCCGAATCAATATTATTGGTTTGAAATTTTCCACTCTCCTTTGTCGATACTTATCTTTGACACAGGACATGCTATTTTGATCCTGTCATTTAGCTCCCTGAATATATTTGCCTTTCATGGTTGTGTTCTTGTATAAATTTAAAATTACAGAACAAATCATACTCCAGCAGACTCTCTTTATAACAAATTACGAAATAAAAGAAACTTTCAATAGTACTCATATTTTTGTGAATAATATCTGGCTTCTAATATACAGGAAGGGATTTTATCTCCAAAAGAGATATTAGTAGAACAGAGAGTTTATAATTCAAATAGTTCCATTTAATACAGCAGATGGCAATGTTACTGAAATTGAAACAAGTGCAAAAATAGTACAGAGCATCATAAGCACAGATTTGTTTATTTCTTATAATTGATTTGAATAAATACATTAAAATTGAATTTACTTGATTTTACTACACATCTGTCAATTCAGCCTTCTGTTTAGATCATGGAAAAAAATGCTGTTGTTAATGTTTGAAATTAATTGGAAGAATTTTGCTAAAATTTGGCTTCTCAAAATTTGGGGATGACATACGTACATCACAAATATTATTCCAGGCCTGAAAAATTGTGTCACTTTAATAGTAGAAATGAAATTTCTATACAATTCTATCCATATTCAATTCAAGCCTGAAATGTATGTTTATTTTCAAGTTGATATGAAAATACCTACTACTTCAGAGGTGATGGAAGTCATTTATTATTTAGAATTATGACATTGGTATGTGTTTCAATGTCCATCGGGTCAGGAAGTTTGCTTGTCACTGGGAAGTTTATCTACAGTGTTTATTGCTGATTAAATTACATCATTGAATTATAATTCACTACAGTTTCACCTCACATTAAAAGTGATGGTTGGTTGACCAAATGCATTCCAATATCTTTATATGCTTTGTGTACGTCCTTGTGTAGATATGACTCTGTGGGCACTAGGAACCTAGGAAGTACCAGACTAAAGTTGGCAAATATGCAAATGACTGTCAGACTCATAAGGCTGTGGCAAAAAAATAAAGAGTGGTCTTACTAGTGGATAAAGGGAGAGGTCAGAATAGTGGAAAAATAAGAAAGACTAAGTGCATGGAATTAAAAGTGTCATAAATAAGACTCTGGACCTTCAGAATATTTGGGTAGAGGTGAACCAACAAGCCTGAATTATTTTTTCACTTGGGAATAACTGCAAAATGAAATACTGAATCTGTGTACTGAGCTGCATGTCCAGTTGTGGATAAATTAAAAAAAGAAGAGGAAAAGTGTTCATTCTTGTGCCAGTTATTGTGTTAGGTACCTTAAACAGAGTATCTTCCTTCATCCCCTAAAAATTCCTGTGAAGTGAATGTTATTACCTTAATTTTACAGAAAATAATGGCATGTTTTAAGGAGACTAAATAGTAGGTCCAAAGCTATATAATTAATAAGTGGTGACATAAACAATCAAATCTAGGTATGATTATATTAATTAGGCTCCAAGTTCATAAGGAGACTAAATAATAGGTCCAAAGCTATATAATTAATAAGTGGTGACAAAAACAATCAAATCTAGGTATGATTATATTAATTAGGATCCAAGTTCAGAAGCTGTAACAAATACTGAAAGAATCATGACTTAAAGCAGGATGGAAGTCTAAATAATAGTCTGAATGTAAATTACAGAGCTAATATGGTTGCTTTACTTTGTCAGGGCCGCTACTACCTTAATGTTCTATCATTTTCAATTGTGACTTTCATTTCATAGATTAAGATTTCTGCTTTAGCTCCATTCTTTATGTTTGTATTCTAGCCAGTGGGAGGGAGAAAAGGGAAAATGGAGGGTAATCCCCTACTCTTTAAGGATACTACTCTGAAGTTGCACACATCACTTCAATTTACATGGCTGCCTCTACTGCAATGGAGGCTTACAAATATTTTTAGCTGGTGGCCATGAGTCCAGTTAAAATGTGAGGATTCTATTACAAAAGAGATAAAAATAGAATGGGTACTGGGAGATAGCTAGCAGACCCCATGGCCTGTGTATTTAAAATTAACATCTTTCCCTCTATGAGTCAACGTTATTGTTCTTTCCCTTTACTCAGTGTCATAAGTGAAGATGTTAGTCCCAGGCCTAGGTACAGTTTTTTCTTCTTGATTACCGTGAGACAATCTGAATACTTCTAAAAGAAGTTTGACATAATGGGGTAAGTTTCCTAAAACCTTTCGTCTACAACTTTAGAAGCTTGTGTTTCAGTTTTCAAGGCTGGTCTTCGTAAGTCCAGTTAGTTCAGTGTAGAAGAAGACTCTATTAATCTATGACTCCAGGGTACAACAGATTATACATTGACAAAGCTTTTAGGTAAAAGATGTAATCATGTCTTATTTTGTACTTCCAATTTAGATGCTGGTTTCTCAACAATATGTTTCATTATTTTGGAAAGAGAGGTACCAGAAAATGTCTGTAAATCAGTTTTTAAAAACTCAATCTTTTTTCATTATTGTCCCATAAGGAGTCTTTTTAAACTTTTTTTCCTAATCACTAGTTTTCCCCCATCCCCACCAAATTTTAATACTGCGAATTTATTGCATATTCTTGAAGTAGTATAGTCTTTTGGAGGAACACAAACCATTATAACATATAAGGCTTTTCATCTTCCAAGGTCATCCCCTTAAGGTCAAACTTGCCTCCCTTAATAATGCATGTGGTAAAGTAACCTGAAGACTTTATCCCACTCATCTTTAAGCGCTTTCTGTCTCAATTTCTTTAGAAATTATAGCCATCACTATTTTGAATCTGTTGGAAGGACCATCCATGTTAACTCAATATCCTACTTTGGCTCTGCTAACTGGACCTGATAACTCAGAAATAACCTAGTTTATGACAGATCTTTCTCTTATTATATCCCCTACCTTTTGCAGCCATTATGTATAGGTACATTTCAAAGGAAAATTGAAGTGATTGTCTTGGATGATTTGGGAGACTTAGGCACGAACCATCATTCTTTCCAGGGAGAGAAAGAACTTCTTGGAAGTTAAAGAGTGGAACTATAGAATTACTTGACAAATTGCTTCCTGATTGACTAATACTGATTTATTACACATTACTACTGAACCGTAAACCAGCTAGTTGTATCTGCTCTTAGGTCACAGAAGAAATTATGGCTTATACTCCAAAGGAATACTTTGGAGAATTTCATCACTTTGGAAAGGGTCACGCAGGTGAGCTTGAGAGGTTTAATTGAATTTCTCTGGCATATGAGATTTTGTTTGTTCATATTTTATTTTATGTAGGGGGAGGATGCCATGTAGCAAAACTTCAGAAGGTATTATTACATTATAGCCTATGTAAATGGTCCCTTAGTGTTGTTCAGTGTATATACTATGTAGCCATACATTGCATCCCTTGCAGGCAGGATCTGTTTTTGTAGCAAATTAGTTACTCTATTAATGAAGATACACTGATATAAATTTGGAAGCCTGGAGAACTACTTAGGGCAGTGGCAGTCATCTTTCTGTGCTAAGAAAAGGTAGAGGCAGAATAAGTTGAAAAACATAGGTGATATATACTCAATGTTTTGAAAAAATATACATCCAATGTTGAAGACTTGGCAAGATCAATGATCTTCAAATATCTTGCAGTACCTTCTATAAGAGTTTTGTAAATGTTCTCCCCTTGCATATTTTTAAATTGACATCTAAAACGTGATCATTGGTTTAAATAGTTGCAATACTTGTAATCACTAGAATATTGTAAATATTAAATTTTAAAACAAAACATTACAATACTCTTTTAAATGAATTTATAGGAATATAAATGCCACATCATCAATATAATACACACTATTGTCCATTTAAAAATGAGTGAACAAGTTCATTTTTGTCAGATGGATATTTTACGTTTTTATCCTGCTTATTGAACTTGTATTTCCATTTCATTTCCCCCACAAAATTTTATCTTATGACAATGTATTTTATGCCTGAGAGTATTTTATACATGACCCTAACATACTCTTTGGAAATAAAATATGTGTATAAGTTAACTTTTAAAAAATTTCCTGTAGCATTAAGCCTCTCAGGAATAAGATATTTTACTCTGGATTAAGCTATCATTACAATTAGCGGTAGTAAATTGTTCATTAGACATATATATACACATATATATGTGTATATATATGTGTATATATATATAGAGAGAGAGAGAATATTTAAATATGTAATATTAAATACTAAACATTTATTGGAAATGCATTTCCTAATGAGATGGATAGACTTATTTTCAATTAGTTTATGTACCTGTGAATGATTATTACTTATTGCTAGAATGAGACTAAGTTAAACATAATTTCTATTTTTAATTTCAATTTAGATAGACAGAAGCACTGAGAAAACATAGAGAAGCACTGAGAAAATTCATACATGTAAAGAAATGGAAATTTTTTATAGCAATGTCACTTTTCTTTAATCACTTTTTGACTTGTAGGTCAAAGATCTTCTAGTGATGCATCCTCACAATTTATTTTTAATTATATATAAGATAACATTAAGTAAAGAACTATAAATAATGTAACTTAAAAAATTGTTTACCTATCATTAGCCTTGTGATTTCTATTTTTAATTTTTTTTTTAATTTGGTCTTCAGATCGCTGTCTTGAGAGTGGCTGTTTCAAGATAGCCACTCTATAGGAGAGTCCTGACTACAGGGAATATCAGGTTCAGGTGTTGTCAGTTGGGTGAGACACAATAAAGGATTAAAACCCGAATGAATATAGCAGAGGAAATTTATTGTATTACTCACATATCTCAGAGAGGTTAGTGGTACCCACTGAGTATGGGGGAGGGCTGATGAGTCCAGAGCCCATCCACTAGTTGAGCAGGGAGCTCAATTAGTAGGTGGGGAGTAAGAAAGAGAGAAAGAGAGGACCTGTGAGACTATGCCTTTAATAAGGATCATAGGCATTATTCCTTAGATTTTTGTTGTTGTTGTTGTTTTGTTTTACAGGGATTGTGGATTGGCTAGTTTAAAGAAAGCGTGTGCAAGGAAAGGAGCTTATTTACATAACTCAGGTGTTGATCATTAGGTTTGACTGTGGTCAGCAGCTGTGGGATATGTTGAGTTTTGCTTCAGTGAGATGAGGGACAAGGGTAATATATCACAAACAAGCACACAAGGAGGAGAAGTTTTAACTAGACCAAACATGGTGAGGTGAAACTGCATCCCAAAAAACTTATGTCAGGCCTATAATGGATGCCAAGGCAGCAACTATATTAAACACATTTATGAAAATTAGAGTCATCAATTCTCAATAAGGACAGCATTATTTTGAATTGTCTCCTGTTTGCTTTCTACGCTAAGGGACAGTGCACCATAATAAAATATGAGAATGGTAAGAGATAAGAGTGTTATCTGTCTTTTGCAAAGTGGAGGAAAGACAATTGTGAAATGGGATATATAGAAAGAGAAATTTTCTCTTCATGAGAGGTGCATTCTCAGGGAGCTCAACATCAGAAAACAGAATATTTTGAAGATGTGATTCTCTAAACTGATAAATTTAAAAGTATCTGTGAATGCATTACTCTTGGAAAGCCTTCATATACTGTGGGGGTTCTGTACATGACAATAAGACCATTAGACCAGGTCATGAGACATGACTAGGTTAATGTTTGGTGTTTTCACAAGAGTGGACTCTTGATAGTGGTGGTTTTCAAAAGCTTATTTCAGTCTAGAAGCAAACATTTTGGGTAGAAGAATGGACATAGCCAGGGAATATTCTATCTCTTCTTCAAGTATATCAAGAAATAGTCTTGGTATGATTCCATTGAGGACTTTCCAAGTTGTTTGAAATTAAGTAACAATGCTGAATTTTTTCAAAGCCTTCTGTTAAAGATATAATTGGAATACCTGCTCCACAAAGGAAATAAATGGTCAAAATTATTAGCATTGAATTTTATGTCTTATGACTATGTTGATATGGGAATAAACAGCAGGGTATGTATTATAGGGAGTGGATCTAGTTGACAAGAAAATGAGCCAGAGCAGTGAATGGTCAATATTCAGGCATTGGAACACAGTTTCAGGAATTAAGTGAAGGAAGGCAGAAATTTATTGGTTGATAAAAAAATAAAACTAAAGCACAAGTGAGATAATACCAGTGAATACGACTGGGATACAAAGTCATAAAAATAAATCATTTGCCTTGCCTGGTTTGTTGCTGGAACATTGGCCTAGATATCATTAGCTTTTCCTGGATTAGGTGAACTATTCAAATCTAAATTTTTGTTTGTGGATGAAATAGACCAAACATTGAAGGTTAGAGGAGGCATGAGAACAGAGAGCCTAGCAGGTCGTTTACTCGTCTTAACTGTTTTATATATACCCATAAAGACATTTTTAAACGAAAGGCTATGTTTTAAAATTAGAAATTTTGTGCATTGTCGGTGGGAATGTAAAATGGTGCAACTTCTGTAGAAAACTGTATGGCAGTTCTTCAAAAAGTTAAAATTAGAATTAGCATATAATCCAGCAACTTTACTTCTGAGTATATACCCTCACAAAACTGAAATCAGGAATTTAAATGGATATGTTCACACCCATGTTCATAGAAACATGGTTCAAAAAGCTAAAAAGTGTCAGCAATTAAAATGTCCCTTGATGGATGAATGGACAAACAAAATACAGTATATGTACATGATGGAATAATATTTAGCCTTAAAAAAGGAAATTCTGACACATGTTACATCATAAACAAACTTCGAAGACATTACACTAAGTGAAGTAAGGCAGTCACAAAAGGACAAATAATAGGAAATGTTACTTATATGAGATTTATACAGTAGTCAAATTCATAGAGAAAGGTAGAATGGTGGGTGCCAGAGACTGGATGAAGGCAGACATGGTGAACTATTGTTTAATTGGTAAAGAGTTTCAGTTTGGGAAGATGAAAAAAGTTCTGGAGGTGGTCGGTGGTAATTCTTCCACAACAATGTAAAATTTACTTAATGCCACTAAACTGTATAGCTAAAAGTTGTTAAAATGGTAAATTCTATATTATGAACATTTTGTAACAATAAAAACAGACTGTTTTGGAAATACTCCTCATAGTATTGTTAGTTGCTTTAATACAGGATGAAACCATTCATTACAATCATGTAATTTTATGTTTTGAGTTAAAATATTGATGACATTCTCTTGTTAATGCCAAAAGAATGTTAACTTTCTTCAAAAAGAAAAGTGGATGAACTAAAGTTTATTTAATACCAATTCTAATGGGAAAAGTGTAATTGATAACAGAATCCTCATCTGCCATGTAAATCTGCCAACCCTGACACATGTCAACAACTATTTGCAGGGACTAAGAAGATTAATGATTGTAAATATACCCTATTGGTCCATTTTCTTACCAAAAAATTAGAGATCTGGCAGACTAAGATGACACTGAAAGCAAAAGGTTGAGTGTACCATATGTATGTAAAGCAAAGTCACCTTGTTACATTCCATATTTGAACATTTTCAGAGCTAAAATGCAAAATAACTTTTTTTTTTTTTTGAGACAGAGTCTCGCTCTGTCGCCTAGGCTGGAGTGCAGTGGCGGGATCTCGGCTCACTGCAAGCTCTGCCTCCCGGGTTCATGCCGTTCTCCTGCCTCAGCCTCCCGAGTAGCTGGAACTACAGACGCCCGCCACCACAACCGGCTAATTTTTTTTTGTATTTTTTTTTAGTAGAGGCGGGGTTTCACCATGTTAACCAGGATGGTCTTGATCTCCTGACCTTGTGATTTGCCCGCCTTGGCCTCCCAAAGTGCTGGGATTACAGGCTTGAGCCACCGCACCCGGCCCAAAATGCAAAATAACTTCTATGTGTAACTTAATACTGAGAATGAAAATGTGAGGTTTGATGATTAACTTGATAACTAGTTAGTAAAATTAAAGTGCATGTAAACTGCAATCAGTTTGAAGCCAAGCTATACCTACATAACCTCTGTTGGGTCTTAATAATAAGAATCTGAGGAATCTTTGAAAAACAGCTTCAGACATATTTATTTAATTTTTAATACTAAAACAGCAATATTGCTTTTACTAGCATTATAGTTATAGTTTCCATGGATGCAAATCTTTGAATACTAAAAGTGAAAGACTCTGTTAGAAGAGGGTAATCATATTTTTTAGAATACTGAATTCCAGCCTGTTTTTCAGTTTGTCTTCCATCTTCTCTAGGGTATTCCTTTGTCTCTTTGGTATCTTCTTTGTACATCTTCCATGTATATTTGACTTCCTTTTTCATATATATATTATTTTTGTTTTTTAATTTTTTATTTCCACAGGTTTTTGGGGAACAGGTAGTATTTGGTTACATGAGTAAGTTCTTTAGTGACGATTTGTGAAATTTTTGTGCACATATCACCCGAGCACTATGCACTGAACCCAATTTATAGTCTTTTGTTTCTCACTCCTTTCCCACCCTTTCCCCCGAGTCCTGAAAGTCCACTGTGCCATTCTTATGCCTTTGCAGCCTCATAGCTTAGCTCCCATTTATGAGTGAGAACATGTGATGCTTGGTTTTCCATTCCTGAGTTACTGCACTTAGAATAATAGTCTCCAATCCCATCCAGGTTGCTGAAAATGCCATTAATTCATTGCTTATTATGGCTGAGTTATACATATATATATATATGAATATGATATATGGATATATATATGAATATGATATATGGATATATATGAATATGATATATATATATATCAATCACAGTTTCTTTATCCACTGATTGATTGATGTATTGATGGGCAGTTGGGTTGATTCCACATTTTTGCAATTGCAAATTGTGCTGCTATAAACATGCATGTGCAAGTATCTTTTTTGTATGACTTCTTTTCCTCTGGGTAGATACCTAGTAGTGGGATTGCTGGATCAAATGGTAGTTCTACTTTTAGTTGTTTAAGGAATCTCCACACTGCTTTCTGTAGTGGTTGTACTAGTTTACATTCCCACCAGCAGTGTAGAAGTGTTCCCTTTGCACTGCATCAACACAAACATCTATTTTTTATTTTTATTTTTTATTATGGCCATTCTCGCAGGAGTATGGTGGTATCGTATTGTGGTTTTGATTTGAATTTCCCTGATCATTAGTGATGTTGAGCATTTTTTTCATATGTTTGTTGGCCATTTGTATATCTTCTTTTGAGAATTGTCTATTCATATCCTTAGCTAATTTTTTTGATGGGATTGTTTGGTTTTTTTCTTGCTAATTTGTTTGATTTCGTTGTAGATTCTGGATATTAGGTTTTTTTTTTTTTTGTCATATGTATAAATTGTGAAGATTTTCTCCCACTTTGTGGGTTGTCTGTTTATTCTGCTGACTGTTCCTTTTGCTGTGCAAAAGCTCTTTGTCCCACCTATTTACCTTTGTTTTTATTAGATTTGCTTTGGGGTTCTTGGTCATTAAATCCTTGCCTAAGCTGATGTGTAGAGGGGTTTTACCAATTTTATCTTCTAGAACTTTTATGGTTTCAGGTCTTATACTTAAGTCCTTGATCCATCTTGAGTTGATTTTGTATAAGGTGAGAGATGAGGATCCACTTTAATTCTCCTACATGTTGGTTGCCAATTATCCCAGCACCATTTGTTGAATAGGGTGTCCTTTCCCCACTTAAATGGTTTGACTCTGTGTCCCCACCCAAATCTCATTTGGTAGCTCCCATAATTCCTGCACATTATGGGAGGGACCTGGCGGGAGATGATTGCATCATGGGGGTGGGTCTTTCCCGTGCTCTTCTGGTGATAGTGAATGGGTCTCACGAAATCTAAAATCACGATCTCTAAAATCACAATCTCTAAAAACAGGAGTTTCTCTGCATAAGCCCTCTCTTTGCCTGCCACCATCCATGTAAAATGTGGCTTACTCCTCCTTGCCTTCTGCCATGATTGTTAGGCCTCCCCAGCCACGTGGAACTGTGAGTCCAATTAAACCTTTCTTTTGTAAATTGCCCAGTCTTGGGTGTTTCTTTATCAGCAGCATGAAAACAGACTAATACACCCACTTTATGTTTTTGTTTGCTTTGTTGAAGATCAGTTGGCTGTAAGCATTTGGCTTCACTTCTGGGTTCTCTATTCTGTTGCATTGGTCTATGTTCCTATTTTTATACCAATGCCATGCTGTTTTAGTGACTATGGCCTTATAGTATAGTTTGAAATCAGGTAATGTGATTCCTCCAGATTTGTTCTTTTTGCTTAGTCTTGCTTTGACTATGCGGGCTCTTTTTTGGTTCCATGAGGTGCCTAGGACCCTCACACAACATGATTTGTTGGCCTAGAAAAATTTCTAGAAACGTTACATCCCCAAAAAGCTGTAGAGCTCCTTTTAGTCTAATACATTTTCCAAACTAAGATACCATAAATATGAAGCTAGCAAAATTTAGAGTTGTTTTTAATCATAAGTACATAATGACCATTGATTATTATAACTGCTAACTTCTTGCTCCTGATTTCCCATTACACAATGGACAAAGATGTGATAGCAATAGGTCATTATTCTAATAATGCATTTTGTATATTCAGATATTTAATTTAATTAATTTAATTTCCTGCACTAAAATATAATTGAGACCGTTATACAATGAAATAAGAAAAGCTTGTAAAATTCAGGAAAATATTCCAAATATTAATATAAATAGCACTTCCCAGGTTTAATAATGTATAAACTAGGTCTTTAATGTTTATGCTTAATAAATAATGAACTTTTGAAAAGTGAATTTAATTTAATGATAAGTGCACTTGATAAATTGCTTATATGGTAATAACAAATGTGAAAATAGTTGTTCAAATATAGAAACTTTATCTGAATAAAATTTTATATGTACCTAGTATATTTTAACTTTGTTTTTTGTATTAGAGGTACGTATTTTAATTTTATAATATGTATGATTATAACATGTACATCTAGTCATTGTAAGAATTAGAATAGCTCGCATATAATGTAGTCATTAAGCTTGTTTACTTTATAATATTAAGCATGATCGAATTTTATATCTCAGATGATATTATGACCTTGAATTTGCATAGAGTCTTTCATGCAAAAATCACAAAGCATTTTTGCATTAGTCACAACTAGATGAGGTAGAGAGTTGTAACAGTTAACTTCCTTTTATAGCTGGAAAAATATAAAGTTCAAAAAGGTTAAATGACTTGTTTAAAGTTGTAAAAGAAAGCAGTTACAACCTAGAGGGTAAATCCTAGTAAGATTATTTATATTTATTCTTTTTCCTTTATTTGTCTAAAATACATATAACAAAATTTGCCTTCTTAATAATTTGTATATGTACAGTTCAGTACTAATGGGATTGACTTTGCATACATATGACAGAAATGACTAGTTTAGAATGTGAATACTTTCTCACTTTAGCCTATCACGAAATTTATATACTCTGTGCATTGTTCATGTTATAGTTCTGATATTGGGTTTTGTTTTATAGTGCTTCATCTGTGGTCTATGAATTGTATATGATTTGGAGCTGTAGAAGATTGTCATTTTCTCACTTGTTTTATAATGTTACTTTTTAGTAATAGCTAGAACACAGTCGTTAAATAGTTTAGTTGTCTTTATTACCTTGGGTTAACTTGCAGGTGGTCATCCTCTTCCTGTTAGGTTGTTGAGCTGTCCTCACTTCTTCCCCTTGTTTACGTTTATGTATTTTGTAACACTCACTTTATATATTGCCTCTTTCAGGAAGCTTCCCCTCACAATCTTCCCACTCCCATCAGTCTGAGTTAAATGTATGACATTACATATGCTGCTATAGTAATAGATACAGTGCTTCGTATTGCAATAATTCCTTTACTTGACTATACCATTGCTAGCACAGAATATAAACTCTTTAACAGAAAAAAACTACATTTTATTAGTTTTTGTATCTCAACCATAAAATATAGTGCCATGTGCATATAGACAGATGTTCAGTCAATGAATATTCAGTGGATACATAAGTGAATGTGTGATGAATTCTTCACAGCATCTAATACATTTCTACTTGTTCAGTATCTTTCTTTGCTAAATTATAAACTCTAAAAAGCAGGACTGTATCTATTTTGGTCATCATTTTCACCTCAGCACCTAGGTGCATTATAAACTCCCATAAATGTTGAATAAATGACTGAATGGATGTATGCTCATCTCTCTCAATTGTGCAACACAGAAAATTGAATTACAATGACAGCAGTTACAAAACGTTGTGTTACCAGAGATCATTATGGGTGAACCTATCCCACAACAGAAAGTAAGTATGGCATATCTCTGATTTATTGGTACAAGAGTTATTATTTAGGCAGCCCTCCAGTAATTATATGATCTCAGGCCTTTTCTGTACATGCATTTCTAACTGATTTTCAACATCAAAGATTAGAAAATATTGCCTGCCAAGTTATGGAAAACTCTCACTTGCAGTTATGGAATGTGAAAGAAATTTTAAAAGATCTTACAGAGATGAGATCCAGGAAAGCAGGCCCACTGTGTAATAACTCTTTTGTAATAACTTCTATCTTATCTCTAAGATCTAATTCTATGTCCTATTTCTAAAGTACTTTACTTTCAAATAAATAGTAATTTGTGCTGCTGTGCAGAGCAATGAAGAATGAAAATATTTATATTCCTAGGGGCATTTGTATTTTAATAAAGAGCAGTCGAAAATAAAAATAACCTGCTACCCAAAATCATTTATTATGAAATATGGAATATCAGGTAGTATAATAGACTGAGATAACTTGAGGGTGACCTTATTTAGGAGTTGGCAGGAACCCATATGATATTATTTGCAGGGTTTGTAGTAGATCATCATGTTCTTAAATATCTCTTACAGTTAGTTTTTTTTCTTTACCGAACATGTTATCAGTAGCTATCCTGGAATGCTTTTTGGCATTATGTACCCCCATTTGAAATGAAAATGTAATAAATAAGACACTTCAAGAAAGTGAAAGGAAAACAAAACACAAGACGAATCCCAGGCAAGGAGAAATAATAGGGTTAGATAGCAGTAGAACCAAAACTGAAAAACCAGCTTAGAAGGGTAATACTATATAGAACAACAATTCTGAAGTTCAATCAACAGACCACTTTTCTTAGATACAACATACAATTCTTCTATTCATTTAGTCAGCACAAAGGTGTGAACCACAGTTGGAAATCACATTTATAACTAAAAATATGAATGAAAACATTTTTATCAAAGTGTAATCTGGTTCTTTAATAAGCTGAATCTGAATCCAAAATCATCTTGTTGTATATTTTAGTAAATACTGACAGCTAATTGTCACTATTCTTTGATACTAAGTCATGAAGTTTCTCAACGGAATAAGGAAGAAATTGTTTCTCCAAATTTATATTATTTTAGGAAGTAAGCAGGTGCTCTCCTACAAGGCATTATTGGCCAATAGCAAAGACTGTCCTGGAACACAGTTTCCTCAATTATAAAACATTAAATAACAAAGTTGAGAGAAGCTTCGGAACCTATCCAGCTTGTATATATTTCTGATGACAATGTGATGATTTGATACATGTATACATTATAAAATGATTACCACAATCAAGTTAACACATCCATTATCTGACATAATAACCGTGTGTGTGCACATGTGTGTGTGTGCTGAGAACACTTAAGATCTATTCTCTCAACAAATTTCAAGTATAATTAACTATAATCACTATGCTGTACATTATATCCCCAGAAATTATTTATTTTATAACTGAAAGTTTCTACCCTTTGACCAATACATTCCCATTTTCCCACCCCTAGCTCCTGGAAACAATCATTCTATTCTGTTTATATGAGTTAGACCTTTTAAGATTCCACATACAAATGAGATCATTTAGTATTTATCTTTCTTTGACTGGCTTATTTCACTTAGTCTAGTACCCTCCAAGTTCATCCATGTTGTCACAAGTGGCAGAATGTTCTTCCTTTTCATAGATGAATAATACTCCATTTTATTCATACACTACCTTCACCATTAGTTTGTTGATGGACACTTAGGTTGTTTCTGTGTTTTGGCTATCATAAATAATATTGCAATAAATATGAAAGTGGACATATCTATTTAAGATACTGATATTGTTTTCTTTATATGTATGCCCAGAAGTAGAACTGGTGGAACATACAGTAGTCCTATCTTTAATTTTTAAGGCAATCTCCATATTGTTTTCATAATGGTTGTACAAATTTACTTTCCCAGCAACAGTGTGCAAGGGTTCCCTTTTTTCCACATCCTCATCAACACTTGTTATCTCTTGTATTTTTGATAATTGCCATTCTAAAATGTGTGAGGTGATATCTCATTGCAGTTTTGATTTGTATTTCTCTAATGATTATGTTAATCCCCTTTTCATGTAATTGTAGGCTATTTGCATGTCTTCTTTGAAAAATGTCAGGACATTTATTTGGGTCTTTTACCCATTCTTAATTGGATTATTATTTTTATAATATTATCCTATTGAGTTGTATGAGTTCCACGTATATTTTTATATTAGCCCTTTATCAGATATATGTTTTTCATTTTGTTGATTTTCTTTGCTATAAAAAAGATTTCCAGTTTTATTTAGCACTATTTTTTTTTATTTTTTTGCCTTAGTTATCTGCACTTATTTTTTGTTTATTTTTTCCTATTCAACCACTGTGTGTCTTTTTATTAGATAATTTAATCCATTTGTATTTAAAATAATACTTGAAAGGCAATGACTTACTATTGCCATTTTTCTAATTGTTCTTTGACTGTTTTGTACTTTGTAGTTTTTTTTCTTCCCTCTTCCTGACTTTCTTTGTGATTTGATGGCTTTTTGTGGTGATATGATATGATTTCTTTTTCTTAATCTTTTATATATCTATTGCAGGTTTTTCTTTTTTGGTTACCATGAGTCCTGCATAAAACATTGTATAGTTATAATATCTCATTTTAAGCTGATGCAACCTAACTATGATTGCATGAAAAATCTCTATAGTTGTACTTCTTCCTTCCTAACATTTTAGGTTATTGATGTTAAAATTTATATTTTTTAATATTGTGTATCCATTAACAAGTTATTTTGATTATAGTTATTTTAATGCATTTGTCTTTTAATTTTTATACTAAAGATGAAAGTGATTTATGCACTATCATCATTACAATATCAGAGACTTCAAAATTTGATTATAAATGTACCTGTATTAGTGAGTTTTACACACTGTTGTTTTAAAGTTGTTAGTTAGAACCCTTTTATTTCAGCTTAAAGAACTCCCTTTAGCATATCTTGTAAGTCAGGTCTACTGTTTATGACTTCTTCAGTGTTTGTTTGATGAAGAAGTCATTATTTCTCCTTCATTTCTAAAGCACAGATTTGCTGTGTATAGTATTCTTTATTGGAAGTCTTTTATTTCAATATTTTGAATATACCATCCTACATTTTTCTTGCCTATAAGGGTTCTGCTGAGAAAATCACTTATAATTTTATGGATATTTTCTTGTATTTGATGCATCATTTTTCTTTTCCTGCTTCCAAAATTCTCTCTTTGTCTCCTCATAATGTGTCTTGGTCTTAGTGTAGATCTTTTTATGTTCAGTCTGTTTGGAAATGTACTCATGAAGCTCAATGTTCATTTATCTTCTCAGATTTAGAATTTTTTTAGACATTGCTGTCGTCCTCCCCACAACCTTATCTGGCGTTTTGTTTTTTTTTTTTTTTGTAGTTTCAGTTACCTGTGGTCAACTTCGGTACAAAAACAAATGAGTACGGTACAATAAAATATTTAGAGATAGAGGGAGACAATATTCATATATTGTGTACTGATTAGCAGTTATTCATAAGTGTGTAATAAAGAGTAATTTAAGGTAAGCTAGTAAGAAGGCACACATGTCATTACACTATTTCTTTACCAAATGATTTTGAGGTATTCTCTAGAAATATTTATATTGTGCAATGACAAACATAAGCTTTTATTAATTGAGTTAAAATAACTTTTATTTAAAGATGGAATCTAATCACTATTGTATGTACAATTGTAAATCAGTATATAAAATATGATTATTGCTATATGTCTATATTTAATAAACTTTTTAGAACAATATTTTAATAGAGGAGTTCACACTTTTTTAAAACTTTATTCACTTACGAAGGAGACAATACCTAAAGGTCTAAAGGTCTGATGTCTAGAGCAAGAAAATAGGTTCATCCACACATAACATACCACAGGAGCCCATTGAATATATGTGTCACAAATACTGTTCAGAAAAGCCCAATTTCTATCAACTCAAAAATCTAGCCAACCAAGGAAGAGAGCCACAAACTTACTATTGCTGCTTTTGTGTATAGGTATCCCAAACTTTTACAAATAGCTTATCATCGTGACTCACACTTAAACTTATTACCTTATTCTGGTTATTTGTTGTTATGAATACCCTGAAAATACTTGCATAATTTAATAGAAAATTATGAACCAACAGAATAGCAATGTGGCATTACTACATTAAAGGAAGGTTAAGAGAAGGTTAATAGAAACAACTAGTAAAGTTACAATAACACCATACATATTCATAATAAAAGGCATAACAATATTCAGAGTGTTTGTGAAATAAAGGAATTAGTTATATTTTGAGTTCTACAATTGTCTGATTTTTAAAGAATACTTTTCCCCAAATGGAAAGAAGCTCTATGGAAAGAAAGGAAAAATATAAATAAGATGGTAGTAACAATGGGATTTCTTCTCACCAATGAGTCTGGGATGATATATGAGGCATGCAGTTACAACACCAGTTTCTAACTTAAGCCGGTATCTGTCAGTGAATTAAGTGCATATTTATCCAATCACTAAATATTTCAACACTTTAGTTTTGTCTTTGAAAAGCAATAATTATCACACTGCTTTTCTCACTAGATTATTGTGAGACTTCAAGTAAAATGTAACTGCTTAAGTAAATGGAAAAAAACTGAGTGCTCTGATTTAAAAAAGTAATGTTGTGATAACTAAAAGAGTTAAGTTGTCATGACTCACTCAACCTTTAGCAGCAAGCTTTAGCAGAATGCGTCATGACATTTTCATGGGAAATTTCTCCAACGTGTTTGGCAGATGACATAAAGTGAATGTCCTTCCCTGTGGGATACTGTTATGCAGTCTACCGTAAGCTGTGAATGTATTCCAAGTGCCCAGTGCTGTCATCCTGCTATTCAGGCTCCTTCACTATGTCATTGTATTTGTAAAGCAGCACCCCATTCTTTAGAACATGGTATATTTTTTTCTCATTTTCTCAGCAATGCAGCATTCATAGTTTAGCACATATTTTACCAGCCCTTCGAGGCTTAGCTAGATGTCTAGATCATCTTACACATTTATTCAAACACAGATAATCCTGGTAAATAATGTTTTGGGGCCAGGCATGGTGGCTCATGCCATTTGAGAGGCCAAGGCAGGTGGATGGCTTGAGCCCAGGAGTGTTAGACCAATCTGGCAACATGGCAAAATCCTGTCTCTAAAAAACGTACAAAAATTAGCTGGGTGTGGTAATGCACGTTTTTAGTCCCAGCTACTCAGGAAACTGAGAGGTGGAAGGATCCCTTGAGCCCAGGAGGTCGAGGCTGCTGCAGTGAACCCTGATCAGGCCACTGCACTCCAGCCTAGATGAGGGAGTAAGACTCTATCTCAATAATAATAATATTTTTGATGTTTGCATGTTCAAAACAAAGCCGCATAGACTGAGGATAGAATGGCTGCTCACAATTCTTAAATATGTGATAAAAATATACGTTGCCAGGCCCAATTTCCAAGATTCCAAATTAATAACACTGGGATACAAATAAAAAATCTCTAAAGTAATTTCTTCAGGTGACTTTTCTGTGTAGCTGGTTTTGAGAACCACTGATACAGAAGTGCTATGGCTTGAATGTCTATGCACCTCCAAAATTTACATTAAGGACACCATATAAGGGCACAGGGTTTGTCCCTTCTACAATGTGAGAATGCAGCAACAGAAACCATCTTGACAACAGAGAGCAAGTCCTTAACTGACACACAGTCCAAGATTACTGGCAACTTAATCTTGGAATTCATAGCCGATAGAACTGTGAAAAATAAATATCTTATTTTTTTTAATTACCTGGTCCAGGGAAATACATTTTCTAAAACCAACTTTGTTTTTGAAGAAATTTAAATGCATTCACCAAAGAAACACAAGGAAATAAGGAGATTTTCATAAGACAATGCATTCACTGTTATCTGACATGAAATATATATGGCAGCAAGAAAAACGTCTATTATAACATCCTGGAAGTACACAATAAAGGAGGATGAAGAGAATAAACACTTAGGTAGAGTGTGATGTCTTTTGTTCTTTTTTATTTTCAACATTTCTTTTAGATTCAGAGGGTACATGTGCAAGTGTGTTCTGTGAGTAAATTGCATGTCACTGGGGTTTGGAATACAAATGCTTTTATCACCCAGGTGTAGTGAGCATACTATCCAATAGGTAGTTACTCAACCCTTACGATGCTCCCACCCTTTTCCCTCAAGTAGACATCAGTGTCTGTTGTCCCCCTCTTTGTTTCCATATGTATTCAATTTTTAGCTCCCACTTATAAGTGAAAGCAGGTGGTATTTGGTTTTTTGTTACTGCATTAATTTGCTTAAGATAATGGCCTTCAGTTTGATCCATGCTGCTGCAAAGGACATTATTTCATTTTTTTCTATGGCTGCATAATATTACATGGTGTATATGTACAACATTTTCTTTATCCAGTCAACCATTGATGGGCATTTAGGTTGATTCTGTGTTTTGGCATTGTGAAAAGTGCAGCAATGAACATACAAGTGGATGTATCTTTTTGGTAGAATGATTTATATTCCTTTGGAAATATACCCATTAATGGGATTGCTGGGTCGAATTGTTTTTCTAAGTTCACTAAGAAATATCTAGACTGCTTTGCACAGGGTCTGAACTAAATTTACATTCCCACAAGCTGTACATAAGCATTACCTTTTCTTCACAACCTAACCAACATCTGTTATTTATTTTTTGCCTTTTTTTTTTTTTTTTTTTTTTCTGGAGACAGAGTTTCACTCTTCTTGGCCAGGCTGGAGTGCAATGGTGTGGTCTTGGCTCACTGCTACCTCTGCCTCCTGGATTGAAGTGATTCTTCTGTTTCAGTCTCCCAAGTAGCTGGGATTACATTACAGGTGCCTGCCACCATGCCTGGCTAATTTTTGTATTTTTAGTAGAGACAGGGTTTCACCATGTTGGCCAGGCTGGTCTTGAACTCCTGACCTCAGGTGATCCATCCACCTCGGCCTCCCAAAGTGCTGGGATTACAGGCGTAAGCCTGTATCTACTTGTTGTTTTGATTTGCATGTGCCTGTTCACGTCCTTTGCCCATTTTTAATGAGTTTTTTTCTTGTTTTTTGATTTGTCTAATTTATTTCTAGATGCTGTGTATCCATTTTGTGTTTTTTGATTTGAGGTTTCCACATGGCTTGCAAATAGCATCTTATTTTAAACTGATGACAACTTATCACTGACTGCATAAACAAAGATAAAATTAATGTAAACTCTACACTTTAACATCATCCTCCTCTTTTCAACATTTTTTGTTTCCATTTATATGTTATTGAGGATGGGACCTGGTGGGAGGTAATTGGATCACGGGTGTGGTTTCCTCCATGCTGTTCTAATGATAGTGAGTGATCTATGAGAGCTGATAGTTTTAAAATTGTTTGGCAGCTCCCCCTTTGCTCTCTCTCTCTCTCTCTCTCTCTCTCTCTCTCTCCTGCCACCATGTAAGGTATGCTTGCTTCCCCTTTGCCTTCTGCCATGATTGGAAGTTTCCTGAGGTCTCCCCAGCCATGTGGAAATGTGACTCAATTAAACCTCCTTTCTACACAAATTACCCAGTATCAGGGACCAATCCCAGAGAGACAGAGATATGTGACATTTCAGACAGAGAATTCAAAAGAGCTGTTTTGAGGAAAATTAAAGAAATTTGAGACAACACAGAGAAGGAATTAGAAATACTATCAGATAAATTTACCAAAGATATTCAAAATTCAAGAGTCCAGCAAAAATTCTGCACCTGAAAATTCATTTGACATACTGAAGAATACATCAGAGTCTTTTAATAGCAGGATTGATCAAGCAGAAGAAAGAATTAGCTCAAAGACAGGCTATTTGAAAATAAACAGTCATAAGAGATAAGATAAAAAATAATAAGAAAAATGAAGTACACCTACAATATCGTATTTGTCCATTTTCACACTGCTATCAAGATTGGTCCCTGGTGCTTTTTTCAGTATTTTTTGTGAGGTCATATTTTTCTGGATGGTCTTGATGCTTATGGTGTTCAACAGTCTCTGGGCATTAAAGAGTTAGGTATTTATTATAGTCTTCACAGTCTAGGCTTGTTTGCACCCATTCTTCTTGGGAAGGCTGTTCATGTATTTGAAGGGATTTGGGTGTTGTCATCTAAATTTTCGGTCACTGTAGCCATATGTGCATTAGGGATCACCCCAAGCCCAGAAACATTGTGTTTTTTACAGACTCATAGAAATACTGCCTTGGTAGTTTTAATTAACATCCAGAATAATTCTCTGGATTACCAGGCAGAGACTCTTGTTCTTACTTTCTGCCCAACAAACAGAGCCTCTCTCTCTCTGTCGAGCTGCCTGGAGCTGTGAGAGGAGTAACACAGGCACCTCTCTGGCCACCACCCCTGGGTGTATGCTGAGTCAAATCTGAAGCCAGCACAACACTGGGTCTTGTGCAAGGTCTGGTATAAACACTACCTGGCCTCTTCCTATGTTTGCTCAGGGCCCTAAGGCTCTGCAATCAGCAGGTGGTGGAGCCTGCCAGTCTGGTGACCTTCCCTTCAGAGTGGCAAGTTGCCCCAGGCCCTGAGTAGGTCCAGAGATGCCATAGAGAAGCCAGAGCCTGGAGTTGAAAACCTTAGAAAGCTAACTAGTGGTATATTCTACTGGAGGTGAGCCAGCACCCAAACTACAAGACAAATTCCTTCCCATTCTTCCTTCGTCTTTCCTCCTTTTTTTTTGTTTTCTTTTACAAATTACCCAGTCTCAAATAGTTTCTTTATAGCAGTGTGAAAATGGACTAATACAGAGAATTGGTACCGGCAGTGGTGCACTGCTATAAAGATAACCTGAAAATGTGGAAACGACTTTGGAACTGGATAACAGGCAGAGATTGGCACAGTTTGGAGGACTGAGAAGAAGGAAAATGTGGGAAAGTTTGTAACTTCCTAGACGCTTGTTTATCGGTTTTGACCAAAATGCTGATAGTGAAATGGAAAGAGACTATGGAGTTTTCTAGATATATAATTATATCTTCTGTTAAGAGAGACACTTTGGTTTCCTGTGTTTCTGTTTGGATGTCTTTTATTTCTTTCTTTTGCCTGTTTGCTCTGGCTGGCTAGGAGTTCCAGTGCTATGTTGAATAGGAGCAGTGAGAGACGGCGTCCTTGTTTGGTACCGGATCTCAAGGGCAATGCTTCCAGCTTTTGCCCATTCAGTATAATGTTGGCTGTGGATTTGTCATAAGTGGCTTGTATTATTTCGAGGTATGCTTCTTCAAAACCCAGTTTGCTGAGAATTTTTTAACAGAAAGGAATATTGAATTTTATCAAAACACTCCTCTGGATTTACTGAGATGATCATAGGGTTTTTGTTTTTAGTTTTCCTTATACAATAAATCCAATTTATTTATTTGTATGTGTTGAACCAACCTTGCATCCCAGGAATAAAGCCTACTTGATTGTGGCAAATTACTTTTTGATGTGCTGCTGGATTTGATTTTCTAGTGTTTTGTTGAGGATTTTTGCATGTATGTTCATCAAAGATACTCACCTGAAATTTTCTTTCTCCTTTCTGTGTCGGCCAGGTTTTGATGTAAGAATAATTATTTCCTTTTAAAATTAGTTGTGGAGGAGTCTCTCCTCAATTATTTGAAATAGTGTCAGTAGGATTAGTACTAGTTCTTTATAAGTCTGGTGGAATTTGGCTGTGAATCAATCTGATCAAGGGTTTTCTCTGATTGGTAGGTATTACAGATTCAATTTCAGAACTTGTTATTGGTCTGTCTAGATATTTAATTTCTCCCTGGTTCAATCTTGGAAGGATGAATGTTTCTAGAAATTCATCAGTTTCTTCTAAGTTCTCTAGTTTGTGTGCATAGACAAGTTCATTATAGTTCCTAAGGGTTAATATTAATTTTTTTTGTATTTTTGTGAGGTCAGTGGTAATGTCAGATTTGTCATTTCTGATTGTGTTTATTTGGATCTACTCTTTTTTGTTTTCTTCTTTAGTATAGCTAGTGGTCTATCAGTCTTATTTATTCTTTCAAAAAACCAACTTTTGTTTACATTGATCTTCTGTATAAATTTTCATGACTTACTTTCATTCAGTTCAGCTCTAACATTGGCTATATTTTCTTCTACTAGCTTTGGAGTTAGTTTGCTGTTGTATTTCTACTTGGCTTAGCTGTAATATTATATTGTTAATTTGATATCTATTTTCTGATGTAGACATTTAGTGTTACAAACTTTTCTCTTAATACTATTTTAGCTGCGTTCTAGAGATTTTCATATTTTTATCTTTGTTTTCATTAGTTTCAAAGAATTTCTTGATTAATGCCTTAGTTTCTTTCTTTACCCAAAAGTTATTCAGGGGCAGGTTGTTTAATTTCCCTGTAAAGGGATGGTTTTGAGATATCTTATTTGTATTGATTTCTATTCTAATGAGACAATGGTCCAAGAGTGTGGTCAGTATGATATTTTTTAATTTTTGAATTGGTTGAGAATTGCTTTATGGCCAAGCATGTGGCCATTCTTAGAGTATGTTCCATGTGCAGATGAGAAGAAAGTACATTCTGTTGTTGGGTGATATGTTCTGTAGATGTGTGTTAGGTTCATTTGTTCAAGTGTTGCATTTAGGTCTCAAATATATTTGTCAGTTTTCTACCTCAATGATCTGTCTCATACTGTTGGTAGGGTGTTTAAGCCTTCCACTATTATTGTGTAAATATCTAAGCATATTTGTAAGTTTCTAAGAACTTGTTTTATTAATCCGAGTGCTCCAGTGTTGGTTGCGTATATATTTAGGATTGTTAAGTCTTCTTGTTGGACAATCTCTGTTTAAAGTTATAATCAGTGTCTTTGAAAATAAAAGTAATTGTTACATGATGACATTTGCCTTTGATGCCTTCCAACTTCATTGTTCAACTACTATATTTTATCTCTTGAACTTTTAATCTCCCTTCTCTCAATCCAATGTTAACAGCCCTATGATCTTCAGAAACCTTACTTAAATAAAACCATGGTGGTCTGTTCTCCTTGATTCCATAGTATTTATAGCAATTAAGGCAGTTTTAAAGCCATAATAATGATAAAATACAACAGTATGTATAATAATGTATAACCATATACACATATAACTTTGCATGTAACTATATTTACATATATAAAACATTAAAACAATAACAATCAAATAATTCAGTGGCATTAAACACATTCACAGTGTTGTCAATTCATCACTACTATCTATTTAGAAAACTTTTTCATCATTACAAATAGAAACTCTTTAGTCATTAAACAACAACTCTCCATTCCTCCATACCCCCAACCCGTAGCAACCACTATTTACGTTATCTGTGAATTTCACCATTCTAGTTGCTTCACATAACTGGAATCACACAATATTTGTCCTTTTGTATCTGACCTATTTTATTTAGCATAACAGTTTTAAGGATTATTATTGTCATATCTTATAATTGATTTTAAGGCTAAATAATATTCCATTTTATGTATATGGCACATTTAGTTTGTCCATTAATCTGTTAATATACATTTAATTTTTTTGACTTTTGGTTATTATGAATAATGTCATAATGAACATTCATGTACCAGTACCTTTTTGAGTCTCTACTTTCAATTCTCTTGGTTATATACCTGCAAGTAGAATATTTGGATCATATGGTAATTCTACATATAACTTCCTAAAGAATTGTCATACTGTTTCCACAGGAGCTGCACCATATAGATTTCCACCACCAAAGCAGAAAGGTTTCAATTTCTCCATATTCTTTTCAACATTTATTTTTCATATATATATATATATGTGTGTGTGTGTGTATATATATATATATATATATATACACACACACACACACACACACATAGCCATCTGATGTGCATTAAGTGGTATCCCATTAGGGTTTTTATATGCATTTTCCTTATGATTAGTTTTGTCGAGCATCATTTCATACAATTAATGAGCATAAGTTCATTTTCTTTGAATAAATGTCTTTTTAAGTTCAATGCCTATTTTTATATTGGATTTCTTGTTGTTGGGTTGTACAAGTTGGTTATTCTGCATATTCATATTCTATTCAATATTTTATTTAATGATATGTTCTCCCATTCTGTGGGTCACCTTTTCACTGACTTGATTGGGTCACTTGATGAATAAAAATTTTTAGTTTTGACGCATTCTAATTATTCTACTTTTTTTTCTTGACTCTGCTTTTGATGTCATATCCAAGAAATTATTATCAAATCCAATATTATAGAAATTTTCCTGCATATTTTCCTCTAAGGGTTTTATAATTTTAGATCTTAAGTTTAGCTTTTGATCCATTTTCAGTTAATTTTTATATATGATATAAGATAATGGTCTAATTGCTTTTCAGTGTGTATATACAGTTTTCCTAGGACAACTTGCCGAAAAGAATATTTTCACTTTGAATGGTCTTGAAATTCTAGTCAAAGAGTCATTGACTAGAAAAGTTAGGGGTTATTTCTGGGCTCTTTATTATATTCCATAGGTTCACATATTGCCAGTTTATTTCTTTCAAATATATAACTTCAAATATATATATATTTACATATATATGTGTGTATATATATATATGATAGGTCTTCAAAAAGTTCATGGAAATGTATATTATGAAAAAACAATGCATGGATTTCAAAAATTTTTATACACAAATAAACTCATATTAACTTGTTAGAACATGTCTGCACAGGATCTAGTTTAAGGGACCAAGAATTATAAGACATCAGTTTGAAAAGAACCCCTATAAGAGTGACATAAATTTTGCTAAAATTGAAGCAAGAAAGAACAACAAATGTATCATGAGGCCTGGGTGAAATAATGGTAAAATCACTGATGTTTTACTAAAGTTTATGGCGACAATTCCCCAAAGATATTATCAGTTTACAAATAGATAAACTCATTTTAAAAAGAGAAGAGAAAGTGTTGAAGATCAAGCCCCGAGTATCAGATTATGTACATCAATTTGTGAGAAAAAAAATGTATCTTGTTTGTGCTCTAATTAAAGACGAGCAATAATTAACAGCGGAAATAATAGCTAACACAATAGAAATATCAATTAGTTCAGCTTACACAATTCTGACTGAAAAATTAATGTTGAGCAAACTTCCCACTTGATGGGTGCCAAAATCATTACACCCTCATCAGCTGCAAATCAGAGCAGAGCTTTCAATAAAAATTTTTAATAAGTAGGCTCAAGGTCCTGAAGCATTACTTCAGAGAATTGTAACAGGAGATGAAACATGGCTTTACCATTACAATCCTGAAGACAAAGACAATCAAACCAATCACTATTGAGGATGGAAATGATCCAGTAAAAGCAAAAGTATAACATTCAAGAGCAGAGGTTTGGGCAACAGTGTTTTGGAATGCTCAATGTATTTTTGCTTGTTAACTTTCTGGAGGGGCAAAGAACTATCAGTCGGCTTAATATGAGAGTGTTTTGAGAATACCCAAATATTTAGCACACACACACACACACACACACACACACACACACACATGCCTGGGAAAGCTTCACTATGGAGTCTGTCTCCACCATGAAAATGTTCTTGCTCGCTTCTGTCATAAAACAAGGGCAATTTTGTGAGAGTTTCAAAGGTAAATCATTAGGCATCCACCTTACCATTTTTGGACACTTCTGACATATTTTTATTTCATGAGCTTAAAACAATCTGGAAAGGGCACTTATTTTTCTTCAGTTAATAATGTAATAAAGACTACACTGACATTGGTAAATTTCCAGGACCCTCAGTTCTTTACGGATGGACTAAATGGCTGGTATCATCCCTTACAAAAGTGTCTTGAACTTAATAAAGTTTGTACTGAGAAATAAAGTTTATATGTTTTATTTTTATCTTTTATTTTTTCGCGAACCTTTTCAAGTCTCTCTCTCTGTATACATATACATAACTTTAAATATAATGTCCAACTTCCTCCTGACCTCCAAAGTTTGTAATAAGAACCCAGCTAATAATCTCATTTTTTATGGTTAAAGACTGTAGTAGTTCACTATTTTGCGACTGATCCAAACTCTTTTTTCAAAGAACATTTCTTTTTATGTGGGCCCACTGAATTCGGCTTCTTTAGTTAGCATTCAGCTAATGTTTTGACACAGATTCCCTTTAATGCCAGGAGATAAACCAAACAAGCAACAGAAAAGAACTACCACCATTCCCAATTTCTCCACACTGGCTTTGTGCTGGAGCATTTTTTCCAACATTAGCTAGGCTTGGACTCATCCTACTGATAATCCTGAAGTGAAAGCTTAAAGTTTTCTCAGGTTCTTACTGAACATGCCTCTTGTCTGAGCATGTATATGGCTTTCTAAATTGTCCTGTACATGCTGTTTTGATGTTTAAACTAATTAGAGAAAGTCTTTTTCCAATTAAGAACTATGATTTATTTTTATAATGTTATATTATAGTAAAATGATAGTATTTGCCATGTACTAAGAATCTACTACGTTCAAACAATTGTGTCACAACTTGTATATACATTAACAATCTATACAAGAAATCTGCAAGGTGAGTATTATTACCTTTGCTTTGTAGATAAAGAAACTGAAGTGCATAAAAATTAATTAAATTCCCATTGTCACAAAATTAATGTGGCACATTCAATTCTGTCTGTTCAAAAGCCTGAGCAATTTCTACTACACCATTGCACTTTGCTGATATCTTGAAAGACTGAATGCGGGTTTCAAAGTAAATATTCAACTATGTACTGTTCTAGAATAGTCAGATTAAGCAATTACACACGTTTCAGTTCCTCTGCCTTCAATTTCCACTTCTGCAGCATTTATATCAACAAGTCATTTGGAACAGAACCTCACCATAAACCACTGTCTGAGTACCATGTGTGCAAGCTATAGAAATAAACATAGTGAGATCATCAATTTGAATAGAACTGAAGTATATAAAAAGACAGATATTTCATGGTAGCAAGTCTTGTTAATTTGCCTCAAATTCCTAAAGGGCATAAATTTTAGAGAAGATAGAGATCATATACCTTAAAAACAAAACAGAATAACAAAGGCACAATGTTTATTGATTATTTCTACCAGAAAATATTTTGCAAATATAACTGTATCTGATATAACAGATAAATAATAGCTTATCCACAGAAAACTCATCTTTGTTTATAGCACTCATTCTGGAAATAGCAATGCCCACCTCTTGAGGCTCTAGGCATTGGTAAGGTGTTATGTTAACCAAAATGTTACTTATTTGTCACTCTAATTTTCTATCATTTTCTCTCTCTCTCTCTCTCTCTCTCTCTCTCTCTCTCTCTCTCGGTGTGTGTGTGTGTGTGTGTGTGTGTTTGTGTGTATCTTGCAAATTCTAGGAAGGCCCTAGATTATCCTGCTTGGACCTCACTGAAGGAACTGATTTGCAAATTCTTTGTCAAGATCCCCGTCTTTCAATGAATCATTTTCATACAAGAAGGACAGAAAATATAGTCTAAGCAGAAAGCACTATGCCATTCTGAACTCCTTTTATCTGGCAATACAATAATTCTGAAAAATTACTGAGTTATATCAACCGTAATAAAAATCCATTTCTAAACTTTCAGCAGTATCAAGTAGTATGAATAAACACTTAAAAAATATATATATATAATGCAAACCTAAAATAATCATACTAAGTGAATCCTATTTTTAAAAGGAAATGAAAACACTTATATAGAAAGTAGAGCTATATCAAAAATAAATTGGATAGATTCACAGGGTGACAGCTCATAGGACATTTTCAGGAATAATATAGTACTTGCATGCTCTCAGATTCCTGCAAAATAAATCTCAGGATTTTCCAATCAGCCCACAGGCAATTAGACCCTTGCTTGCCTACCCACAAGCATATTCCAGCCAGGCCTTTCTCTACCAATTTTCATATTCTGTGAATGAATTATGAATAAAATTTCCAAATTCCACCAAGCCGACTATCAGTGTGTATCACCATCCCCTATTTTTGGGCAATAGTGTCAGAAGATACTTTTATGAGTTTTAAAGATTTTGCAATTTAAATGAGCTTTTTGAAGGACCCATTATTTTATGAGTAAGAACTACTGATAAATAAATATATTTGCAATGCCAGTAACAAACATAGTCTATAGTTTTATTACCACATGACTGCAGGCTAAAGTTTAGGTGCTAAGCTGTGCTAAGCTGTTTCTGGTTTCATATCTCTCTGAGAGCTTTTAAAATATAGAGTATGCCCCCTTGCAGCTTGCCTTGCCTTTTTAAATTAATAATTTAACTTACATTTATTATTATCTCATTATTACTTATCTCTTTCATTAAGGAATCATTACAGCATTAGAGTTTATAGCTACAGGCAAGGGAAATATAAGTATTAACAAGTAGCTTTACTTTATACAGACATAGCTGTGATTTGCAAGCTGACCCAGAAGCAATGTGGATTTTTGTGTCATTGGAAATAATTTTATTAAAAAAAATTAAAATAGAAGAAAACATTTTAATTATTCCTTGGAATAATTCGTATCCTGCAGATTTTTTTCCTGCTCGGTAATGAATGTATAATATTAAGATTGAATATATAAATAATTTTCATAATTCAAGAGAAGACAAATATAACTACCTGAGACATTTAATTATGAATGTGATTCTGTTACGGTATTTAAAGTAATATACATTAATACTAACGAAAATCTTGAGAATTCATTCTTTAAATACTCATTTCTGTATTTTATGTAAATTGTACTACTCCAATATTGTGGCCTAAAATATACTATTTCATTGGGGAAAAATGGTAAATTATAAGATACATGGTTTCTTTTTTGGCAAACTATTTTTGAATGTTTATTTTTCTGACATTACTAATCTGTTTAATTTTAGAATCTATAATTCGAATTATAGGGTATTTTTATTATTTTTGACAGAGCATTATAGTCCACTGACAAATTTTGTAAATTCCATTTTATGTTAGAATATTTTGGATGCTAAAACTTAAGTGTTCTACATAGTAATCATTAGCGATAACTAGTATTTAAAATGCATGTTACTAGTAAACCAAATTATATTAATTTTATGTATTATTGGTACATGTATCTTGCAATCCGCGCACCCCCCTCCAAATTTCCATTCATCTCCAAAAATATATTGTATCTATTTATGGTGTTTTACAGTTTTTTATTTATAATATTAATTCTATCAAAATATAACTTAAGGATTTATTTGCAAATATTCAAAAGCAGAAAGATATTCAAGAAAAAAAGTATTAAGTCTTGATAAACTTTACTTTGAAAAAAATGAATTGATAAATTATATATGAGGCCACATACCTCAAAATATCATAGTACTTTGTCATCAAATTCCATAATTTGATGGGTTCATGCTTATCTTAGTTGTATCTAAGTTATCTTATGACATGAAATGTAAAAATAACATAGTCCAAAGTTTTGTTACCATAGTTATAATTACTTGTTTTATGTTTTATATAAATTAAATGGTTGTGTTTGAGTTTATTATAGAGCACTCAGGGCACAGATAAATTGGAATATTAGGACAACATTTAGTGTATTCCTTAATATAGATCTAGCATTTGTCTTAATATAAATAATCTCTCTTACATTAGATGTAATAAATAATAAGGTGAAAATGTAAAAGCTGCTTTTTTATATAGGTTACTATTCATAGAGATTTTATGGCAAGCTAAACCAGAAGAGATACACGTACATACACACACATATGCATGTATGTATTCATTAAAATGTCCGAAAATTGTATTAAACCCACACAGGTGAAAAATGAGTGCTTTACCACACAGCTCATTGAAGAGTTGGTATTTTGGAGATTCAATTTTATTATATGTGTATAGACACATTTAAGTATATACCAATATGCAATAAATGTAGTTCTTATTGGCGAAAATATAAAGATCTTATGAGGTATTGGTTGTATTTAAGCGGTACTCTGTGGTATTTCAAATATTTTCTTTATCAGTTCTCAAACCAATTTTGCCACTCAATTTGATAGTATTATAGATAGAGAATAAGGTGCATTTCAAACTATTTTGCATGTGTGTATATATATTAAATACAAATATAATTTATGCATATAACTAATAGTGTGAAAAATAATGAGAGAAAAAGATATAGGAGCTAGTCTATATATAATTTTCAGGTTTGGCTTGGTATTATTTTAGTATGGCTGTCTATATTAGTCTTTTCATAATTTTTTGAAATGTGCTTTATTACTAAGTGGAAGATTACTAAGAAATAGCAGAAAGCCTAATATTTCAATTCAAAACAAAACGGTATTCAAATAAATGGTTCAGTCTCCAGTTAATATGATTTGGGTACTAATATCTTAATAATCACCCTATGTCTAAGTGTCAGTTGGGGAATATACAAATTATTTGACAATGACAGAGCCACAGTATTAGTTGGACTCATTGTAGCCATCTTAAAAAAGTAAGCATTTTAAAACAAAGTCATATTTCTTTTCTTTCTACAGTCTTAATTTTCCCCTACTTTGAGCTACTATTTGGAATGTTGCCTTAAGGCTATATCACTGCTGCAGAAGAATGGGTGGGACTTTGCTAGAAGACTGTTAATGCTGTTTCTAATTGGCAGTAGGAGTCTGAATCAGGCCCTCCTCACCTGAGGGTTCAATGCATTCCTTTTGCAAAATTTGTGACTCCATGTGCCCAGACAATTGGACAGTAGCCTTGGTAATCAGACAGTATTCAGTATCGGCTTGTTAAACAGAAATAAATTGAGGACTTTAAAAATTTTAGGGAGAAAGATAGAAGACTGTCCAATATACGTATTCAAAATACTCACAACTCAAAATTTAGAAGCATGTTCCTGATTATAATATTGCCTTCATCCAAAAACGTATGTAATTTGGGGAAAACAGCATCAGTAAACATTTTGTCTTATACTACCCAAAACAAAAGTGTCTTTTAAACCTGTACCCTCAGACAAAAATAAGGAAAAAAAGAATAAAAATATAAACAAAACCTTTGAGATGCTTAGGACTACATAAAGTGACCCAACATTCAAATTATCAAAATTTCTGATAGGACAGATCAACGAGTTTAGAAAACATATTTAAAGAAATAAATCCTGAAAATATCCCAAGTCTAGCAAGAGAGTTAGATATCCAGATATATGAGACCCAGTGATTCCCAGCCAAATACATTCCACAAAAGACTGCAACGCTGCATATTATAACTAGAATGCCTAAAGTCAAAGTGAAAAAAAAGAATTGCAAAATCAGATAGAGAAAAGTGTCTCATCACCTATAAAGGAAATGCCATTAAGCTATGATATGGTTTTGCTCTATGTCCCCATGCAAATCTCATGTTGAATTGTGATCCCAAGTGTTGGAGGTGGGGCCTAGTGGGAGGTGATTGTATCATGGGGTAGTTTCTAATGGTTTAGCACCATCCCCCAAGTGCTATGTTGTGATAGAGTTCTCATGAAATCTGGTTGTTTGAAGCGTGTAGCACCTCTGCCTTCTCTTCTCTCTTTCTTCCTCCTGCGCCCACCATGTAAGATGTTCTGGCTTCCTGGTCACCTTCCACCATGATTGTAAGTGTCCTGAAGCCTCGCCAGCCATGCCTCCTATACAGCCTGTGGAACTGTGAATCAGTTAAACCTATTTTCTTTATAAATTACCCAATCTTAGGTAGTTCTTTATTGCAATGTGAGAACATACTAATACAGACAACAATGGATTTTTAGCTGAATCTTCACAGGCCATAAAAGGATTGAATGACATTTTCAAGGTATAGAAAAAACAAAACAAAACAAAACAAAAAAACCTTTTGGTCACAAAATTTATATCCAGCAAGAATAAGCTTCATAAATGAAGGCAAAATAAAGTCTTTCCCAAATAAGCAAATGCTGAGGGAACTATTCACCAACAAACCAGCCCTATAGGACATTCTCAAAGGAGTCTTAAACATGGAAATGAAAGGCCAATATTCATCATGATGAAAACATATGAACAAGGAAGATAAGTGAATCAGATGTCAATATGGGAGAATTTCCCCAAACCACAGAGAAAAAAAGGATCTATGAAACAACTAGAATACAATTAATAATATGACAGAAACAAAACCTTAAATATCAATATTAACCTTGAATGTAAATAGATTAAACATTCCATTTAAAAGATGTAGATTAGTAGAATATTTTAAAAAAATCATTCAACTATATGCTGCTTATAAGAACTAATCTATAAAGACACAACTAGACTGAAAGTAAAGTAGTTGAAAAATATATTCCATGCATGTGGAAACCAAAGAAGAGCAGAAGTAGTTATATTTATATCAGATAAAACAGAATTATATTCAAAAACAGTAAAAAACAACAAGGAATGTCATTATATAACAAGGGGATCAATTTAGAAAAAAAATAACAATTTTAAATTTATACACACACCACACCAGAGAACCCAGATTTATAAAACAAATGTTACTAGACCTAAAGAGAGAGAGAGAGAGACACCAATTAACAGATGGTAGGGAAGCTTAATATCCCACTTACAACATTAGACAGATAAGATAGAAAATCAACAAGGCAACATTGAACTTTAATTGGACTTTAGGACAAATGGAATTTACAGACATCTGCAGATCATTCCACCCAAAAACTAAAGAATATATATTCATCTCATTAGCACATAGAGAATTTTCTAAGATAGACCATATTTGTTGAGAAAACAAGTCTCAACAAACTTTTTAAAAGTAAAATTATATCAAGTATCCTTTATGACCTCAATAGAATAAAACTAGAAATCAATACCGAGAGAAACTTTGGAAATTATACAAATATGTGGAAATTAAACAACATACTCCTGAATGATCATTGGGCCAAGAAAGAAATTAAAATTGAAATGTTAAAAGTTGTTGAAACTAATAAAATTGAAAACACAACATACCAAAACCTGTGGGATACAGACAAAGTAATCTTCGGAGAGAAGTTTATAGCATTAAATGACTATATTAACAGAGTAGAAAGATTGCAAATTAACAACCTAACATCACCTCTCAAGGAGTGAAGAGTAAGTACAAACCAAACCTAGGCTGGGTGCAGTGGCTCATGCCTGTAATCCCAGCACTTTGGGAGGCTGTGGCGGGTGGATCACCTGAGGTCAGGAGTTTGAGACCAGCCTGGCCAACATGGTGAAACCTTGTCTCTACTAAAAATACAAAAATTACCCAGGCATGGTGGCAAGTGCCTGTAATCCCAGCTACTAGGGAGGCTGAGGCATGAGAATCGCTTGAACCCAGAAGGGGGTGGTTGCAGTGGGCCGAGATCCGGCCATTGCACTCCAGCCTAAGAGAAAGAGCGAGACTCCGAAAACAAACAAACAAAAACAAAAAACCAAACCTATAAACAGCAGAAGAAAAGAAAAATTACAGCAGAACTCAATGAAATTGAAACAAAAATTACAATGATTTAACAAAATGTTTAAAAAAAAAAAGATAAACAAAATTGATAAACCAGTAGCAATAAAACCCAAGAAGACAGAGGATACAAATAAACAAATTTGGAAATTCAAACTCAACTGACATCAAAGAGAAACAAAAGATCACCAGAGACCATCTTGAACAACACACTCAAAAATTAGAAAACGTAGAGAAAGTGGATAAATTCTTGAAAACATACAACCTCCTAAGACTGAATCAGGAAGAAATAGAGAACCTCAACAGACCAAAAACAAGTTCCAAGATTGAATCTGGAATAAAATAGCTCCAAAGAAAGAAAACCTCAGAACCAGACAGGTTCACAGCTAAATTCTACCAAATGTACAAAGAAAAACAAACAACAATTCTTTTGAAACTGTTAAAAAAGAAAGAAAAGAAAACAAGGAGGAGAGAATTTTTTCTAACTCATTCTATGAGGCCAGTATGATCCCTGATACCTAAATCGGACAAGGACACAACAATAAAACAAATCTAAAGACCAATAATCAATGTGTATGATAAACATACACATAAAAATTCTCAACAAAATACTAGAAAAGCAATTCAACATCATATCAAAAAGATAATACATAATGATAAAGTAGATTTTATGCCAAGGAGGCAAAGATGGTTTAACATAGGCAAATCAATAAATGTGATACATCACATTAACAGATTTAAAGACAAAAACTATATCATCATTTCAGTAGGTGAGAAAAAAAGCATTTGATAAAATCCAGCTTTTTTTTTTTTTTTTTTTTTTGAGACAGAGTCTTGCACTCTTGCCCAGGCTGGAGTGCAGTGGCGCCATCTCGGCTCACTGCAAGCTCCGCCTCCTGGGTTCACACCATTCTCCTGCCTCAGCTTCCCGAGTAGCTGGGACTACAGGCGCCCGCCACCACGCCCAGCTATTTTTTTGTATTTTTAGTAGAGACAGGGTTTCACTGTGTTAGCCAGGATGGTCTTGATCTCCTCACCTTGTGATCCGCCCGCCTCAGCCTCCCAAAGTGCTGGGATTACAGGCGTAAGCCACGGTGCCCAGCGAAAATCCAGCATTTCTTTGTGATAAAAATTCCTCAACAAACTAAACCGATAAAGAACATATCTCAAAATAATAACAGTCATATATGACAAACCCATTGCCGACATCATACTGTATGGGGAAGATTTGAAGGCATTTACTTTAAGAACTGGAATAAAACAAGGATGCCTATTTTTACCATTTCTATTCAAGATGACACTGGACGTTCTAGCCAAACCAATCAGACAATAGGAAGAAATAAAAGGCATCAAAAGTTGAAAACAGGAAGTAAAATTATCCCTATTCGCTAATGATTAGATCTTACACCTGAAAAATGTAAAGACCCCACCAGAAAACTGTTAGATTTGATAAATTAATTCACCAAAGTTTCAGGATACAAAATGAAAGTACAAAAATCAGTAGCAGTTTTATACCCCGATAATGACCTAGCTGACAACCAAATCAGGAAAGCAACAAAACTTACAATCACTACAAACATAAACAAACAAAATACCTAGGAAAATATTTAACCAATGAGGTGAATGGTCTCTACAACAAAAACTACAAATGACTGATGAAAGAAATTATATATGACACAAACAAACAGAAAACTTCCCATTCTCATGGATCAGAATAATTAATACCTTTAAAATGACCATACAACCCAAAGCCATTTACAGCTATAATGCAATGCCTATCAAGATGCCAATGCCATTTTTCACATTGTTAGAAAAGCAATCTATTCTAAAATGTATATGAGACAAAAAAGAGCGTGAAAAGCCAAAGCAATCCTATGTAAAAATAACAAAGCTGGAAATATCACATTATTTGACTTTAAATTACACTTCAAGGCTATAGTAACAAAACCAGCATTGTGCTTGTATAAAAATAGACACATAGATTAATAGCGCAGAATAGAGAACCTAAAAATATTTAAAACCACCTGATCTTCTAAAAAACTGTCAAGCACATATGCTGGGGAAATGACACCCTTTTCAATAAATGATGCTTGAAAAATTGGACTGCCAAGTGTAGAATATTAAAACTGATTACAAAATAAATGTAAGAAGAATGAAAGACTTAAATATAAGAGCTGAAATTATAAAAATACTAAAAGAAAACCTACCGAAAACTCTTCCAAACATTGGTCTAGAAAGAATTTATGAGTAAGATCACAAAAGCACAAGCAACAAAAACGAAAATATATAAACTAAAAATCTTCTGTGCAGCAAAATTAATAATCAACAGAGTGAACAGACAACCTGCAGAATTGGTTAATTTATTTGCAAACTATGCATCTGACGAGGGACTAATATTCAGAATTTACAAGAAACTTGTAAATTAACAACAACATTAACAACAACAACACAAAAAACTCCAAATAATCCCATGAAAAAGTGGGCAAAGGAAAAGAAAACACAAAAGTGGCCAACAGGCATATGAAAAAATGTTCAACATCACCAAATGTCAGAGAAATGCAAATTAAAACTGCAATGAGTTATCATCTGACACCAGTTAGAATGGCGATTATTAAAAAGAAGAAAAGGAAAAGATGTTGGCAAGCATGTGAATAAAAGGAAACTCTTACATACTGTTGGTGGAAATGTAAACTAGTACAACTTCTATGGAAAACACTGTGGAGATATATTGGGGATGGGACCCAAGTCTAAATATGAAATTTATTTAATGTTTACATACACCCTATATACATAACCTGAAGGTAATTTTATACAATATTTTAAGTAATTTTGTACATTAAACAAAATTTCGATTCTGATTTGATTGCACCCCATCACATGAGGTTAGGTGTAAACTTTTCCACTTGTGTCATGGTGGCACTCAAAAAGTTTCAAATTTTATAGCATTTTAGATTTAGATTTTTGGATTGGAATGCTCAAACTGTAATATACCATATTTCAAAATAGCTAAGATACTAAAATTTAAATGTCTCACCACAAAAAATAGTAAGTGGGGTGATTAATATGTTAATTAGATTGATTTAGATATTCCACATTATATACATATATCAAAACATGATATTGCACCCCAAAATATATACAATTATTATTTGTCAATTTGAAATATATGAAAACTGTTTTTGTAAGCAAAATGGAGGTTGCTTTAAAAAATGTTTTGACCTATAAAAATTGTATATATTTAAGGTGTACGATGTAGTATTTTGATAAACATATACATTATGAAGTGACTACCATTTTTAATGATAATGCAAACCATTTCCAATGAAATAAAATGAAGTTATATGTAAAATTATGAAGCATCAAATATAAATAATAACAATGATAATAACGAACATTTATTGAATTTTATTCTAAGTCAATCTGCCTGCTAAATATTTTACATGTATAAAATAATGTGGTGGAAATTCAAGATGAAATAAAAATAAAAACAATTAAAGGAGTATAAAACTTTCACAGTCACTCTCAGTTCTCACCTGATCCAGCAGACAATTAGTAATTATGTTGGTAGAGGTTTTGATCGTATATTAATATAATTTGTTCTAATAGATATATTTAGAATGCTACATCTTATAAACATCCAATACAACAACCTCTCTTCATACCTCTATCAAAAAATATAATAAATGACTCGTTTTATAAATATCTCAAAAGTACAAAAAAGTAGAATTAAAACATATTATCTTACCACAAAACACAATAACTACAAATAAATAGTAAAAGTGAAACAAATAAGTAAAAATAAAAACATGTGGAAGTAAACTATTAATCCTTTTCTCACCTGAAATGTTCTTTGAACAAAACAGCCATTGCAGAATTTCCAGAAAAATAAATACTAATTAAGAGCCTGCAATAATTGCATGGTCATATTAGTCTCTGCATTTATTTACATATTGGTTTGTTTTTATTTTTTATTTTTATTTTTAAAATTTAATTTAATTTAATTTCAATAGTTTTTGGGGAACAGGTGGCTTTTGGTTACATGAATAAATCCTTTAGTGATGATTTATGAGACTTTGGTGCACCTGTAACCAAAACAATGTACACTGTGCTCAATGTGGTGTCTTTTATCCCTCACACCCCTGCCACTCTTCCCCCTGCATACCCAAAGTCCATTATATCATTCTTACATCTTTGTGTCATCATAGCTTAGCTTCCACTTATAAGTGAGACCATACAATATTTGGTTTTCCATTCTGGAGTTACTTCACTTAGAATAATGGTCTCCAACTCCATCCATGTTGCTGTGAATACCATTATTTCATTTCTTTTGATGCCTGAGTAGTATTCCATGATATATCACATTTTCTTTATCCACTCATTGGTTTATGAGCATTTAGGCTGGTTCCATATTTTTGCAATTGTGAATTGTGCAGCAATAAGCATGTGTGTATAAGTGTCTTTTTCATGTAATGACTCCTTTTTCTCTGAGTAGATACGCAGTAGTGGAATTGCTGGATCAGATGATAGTTCTACTTTTAGTTCTTTAAAGAATGTCCATGCTATTTTCTATAGTGACTGTACTAGTTTACATTCCCACGAGCAGTGTGAAAGTGTTCCCTTTTCACTACATCCACACCAACATCTACTGTTTTTTGATTTTTTAATTATGGCAATTCTTGCAGGAGTAAGGTGCTATCTCATTGTGGTTTTAATTTACATTTCCCTGATAATTAGTGGTGTTGAGTGTTTTTTCATATATTTGTTGGACATTTGTATATCTCCTTTTGAAAATTGTCTATTCATGTCCTTAGCCCACTTTTTGATGGGATTGTTTTCTTCTTGCAGATTTGCTTGTGTTCCTTGTCGATTCTGGATATTAATCTTTTTTCAGATGCATAGTTTGTGAATATTTTCCCCCACTCTGTGGATTGTCTTTTTACTCTTCTGATAATAATTAATAATAATTATTAAATTAATTATTATTATATAATTATTATATAATATAATTATATAATTATTATATAATAATATAATTATATAATTATTATATAATAATATAATTATATAATTATTATATAATAGTATAATTATATAATTATTATATAATAATATAATTATATAATAATAATATAATAATTATATAATAATATAATAATATAATAATTATATAATAATGTAATAACATAATAATTATATAATAATATAATAATATAATAATTATATAATAATATAATTATATAATTATTATATAATAATATAATAATATAATAATTATATAATAATGTAATAATATAATTATGTTATTATAAATAATTATATAATCATGTTATTATAAATAATTATATAATGTTATTATAAATAACTATATAATCATGTTATTATAAATAACTATATAATCATGTTAATATAAATAATTATATAATCATGTTATTATAAATAATTATATAATCATGTTATTATAAATAATTATATAATTATGTTATTATAAATAATTATATAATTATGTTATTATAAATAATTATATAATTTTATTATTATACATAATTATATAATTTTATTATTATAAATAATTATATTATTATATAATTATATTATTATAAATAATTATATTATTATAAATAATTATATTATTATATAATTATATTATTATAAATAATTATATTATTATATTATTATATTATTATAAATTATTATATTATTATGAATAGTTATATAATTATATTATTATATTATATTGTTATTATAAATAATTATCTAATAATATAATATAGTTATATGATTATATATTATATAATATTAATTATATATATTATATATAATATGATTATATATTATATAATATTAATTATATATATTATTATATATAATATTATTATATATAATATAATTATATATTATATATAATATATATAATATATTATATATATAATTATTATTATTATTTTGCTGTGCAGAAGCTCTTAGTTTAATTGGGTCCCATCTGTTTATTTTTGTTTTTGTTGGATTTGTTTTTAGGTTCTTGGTCATGATATCTTTGCCTAAGCTAATGTCTAGAAGTTTTTCAGATGTTATCTTCTAGAATTTTTATGAGTCTTAGATATGAGTCTTTAATCTAGCTTGACTTGATTTTTGTATAACGTGAGAGTGGAGGATCCAGCTCATTCTTCTACATGTGGCTTGCCAATTATCCCACCACCCATTTTTTGAATAGGGTGTCCTTTCCCCACTTTATATTTTGTTTGCTTTGTCAAAGAGCAGTTGGCTGTAAGTATTTGGCTTTATTTCTGGGTTCTCTATTCTGTCCTATTGGTCTACTTGCCTATTTTTGTACCAGTATCATGCTGTTTTGGTAACTCTAGTGTTGTAGCATGATTTGAAGTCAGATAATGTGATGCCTCCAGATTTGCTCTTTTTGCTTAGTCTTGCTTTGGCTATATGGCTCTTTTTTGGTTCCATGTGGATTTTAATATATTTTTTTTTAGTTCTATGAAGGATGATTGTATTTTGATGGGAATTGCATTATTGAATTTTTAGATTGCTTTTGGCAGTATGGTCATTTTCACAATGTCATTTCTACCCATTCATGAGCATTGGATTTGTTTCCTGTGTCATCAATGACTTTTTTCAGCAGTGTTTTGTAGTTTTCCTTGCAGATATCTTTCACCTCCTTGGTTAAGTGTATTCCTAAGTACTTTAGTTGGTTTTTTTTTTTTTTTGCAGCTGTTGTAAAAGGAATTCATTTCTTGATTTGATTCTCAGTTTGATCGTTTTTGGTGTATAGCAGCACTATTGATTTGTGTACATTGATTTTGTATCCTGAGCTTTTTCCGAATTTGTTTTTCAGTTCTAGGAGCTTTCTGGATGCGTCTTTAGAACTTGCTAGGTATACGATCATATCATCGGTGAACAGTGACAGTTTAACTTCCTTTTTACCAATTTGGATGCCCTTTATTTATTTCTCTTGTCTGATTGCTCTGGTCAGGACTTCCAGTACTATGTTGAATAGAAATGGTGGAAGTGGGCATCCTAGTCTTATTCCAGTTCTCAGGGGGAATGCTTTCAACTTTTCCCTGTTCGGTATAATGTTAACTATGAAAATAATTCAAGAAACGATATAATTGTTTATGATTACAGAGCAGAAGGTAGATGTTATCAAACCCCAACAATTAAAAATACAGATTTATCATGGGCATTGAAAGAGGGAGAGGAGGACTGAAGGGTAATATAAGGGCAAAAATATTTTCACTTGTAAAGAGGTTGTATAATGATAATGTACAATATTGGTGGGGCAATGTTATTCTATGAATATGTCAGCATTCTTTCTGTTTCCATTAGTATAGTTATACCCAGTCCACCTGCTAACTTCTTTCTTATGTTCTCTTTTTAATTTATCCAATTTGCATTTATGTTTATGTGTCTATAAACGTGGGATGGATCTGCAACAATAAACACCAAACTACTAATGTGAATAATTACTTGGGTTTAGGTTATGCAATAAAGATTTTCACATGCTACTACTATATATATTATATATAATATATATTATCTAGACATATTAGAAATAAGAATATAAAAGCAAAATAAGTAAGTGATGTCACATTGAGTTATTATCTAGAAGCAAAATAAATACATAAAACAAAATCCTGTTTGATGCCTATCAGAACAAGATAAGGCATTCAAGAGAAGTGAGCTAAGAGTTCAGGAAGAGAAAAAGACACTGCAATGGAAGTTATTTATTTCCAGCCTTAGCTCAGAAAGACATAAAGTAGCCTGAGAACATGGGAGTGTGACAATGGTATGCTACTTGCTTCTCACATGAGCCAAATGATTGCAAGACTTGCAGGCAAATAATGACTAGCTGGTGGGAATAGGGAGGAAAGAGGCAATAGGACCAGGTGAGGTCCACACCCGCTTTTACCATTTCTGTTGCGTCACTAAAACCGTATCAAGTGGCTAGCTTAGAGTGATTTTAAATGTTTCTTCTTTGTCCACTTTAAGCAGATACAATTCCTCGGTTTTTGCTTTTATTACTATACTTCATTCTCCTGTTCAGCATTTCCAAGTGTCATACGTGAGAGCTCCGTAGGGCCCAGGAGGCACCAGCTGCCTTGCATGGTGGAGGCCAAAGCCACAGATTGAGGGAGGCCCTGACCCTTTTTTGTCTGTGTCTGGCAGAGACGATGTGAGACCAAGACAATTCTTCCTGGCTGCTTGGATAATAAAGAATTTTGGCTGGACCTTTGAGCACACACTGGGATAGTGAGGAGCCAGGGAAAAAACACAACTATGTAACTGAAGCAGATTAATAAGGAATTTAGGTTTTTTGTCCTTGGCCCTCTAGCACAGTGTTCTGTTGGATGTGATAGCTTTCATTGGCAGGCTACAATTATAGGACCTCATTACAGCCTGTATCAAGGTGGGTGTGTTCTTCTTGACAGTTCATTTTCATTCAGACTACTCCTTCAAACCACCTAAGGTTGCATTTATTACAAGAATTTATCATCCAAACATTTAAGTAATGAGACCATTGGTCTCAGTATTCTAAGATCACTGTGGTCTTCTGCTTTAACATTTTTGAAGTTATTTTTACATCAATTTGTTCACTGTTATGTGATCCAAATCCAGAAACCCCCTAGTGCTAGAGATTGCAAGGACCTATAAAACAGACAAAATAATAACAGAATGTTTTGGAAATAGACTGAGAAGTACATCATACAATGCTTCCTTAAAGTCAGAATAACCTGCATTATAACTGTAATAAACTTTATTGTTCCTACTTTGATTTTCTTATGCAGCTGCTCCCCTATCATACCTCATCGTTTTAATTATTTTTTAGTCTCCCTCCATTCAGTCACATGCTTATCAGAGAATTCTTAAGTTCTTACAGCTTTGGACAATAACTTCTTTTAGAAACTATAAACTAGTTACAAGGGAAAAGTTACTCAAGATTCAGAAATTTGAAAAAATGGAATATGTGTATTATGTGACCAATGTCTTCACTTTACCTTAGTATGAGACTAAAACGATTCCTCACTGCTCTAACATGCTGAAGAAATCATCTGCGGGGGAGGGAGACAGATACTCAGCTATAATATCAAAGAAAGCAGCATTACTCAGCAGTATCCATCCATGTTTAAACTTTTCACCGTTAGAAATTTGAGGTTGCGTGGTATACTTTATGCTCATAACCATTGTGGCTGGAGAATTGGCATTGAATTTACAACATCAGCAGAACAGAAAATGTGATGTATTTTATGCATGTCAATAAAGTAATGACCTGTTCTTGTTCTACAGAAAATAGAAGAAAAAAGTTCCAAAGTTTCTATGTTTAATTGTTCTGGTGAACAGAGATTATCTTCTACATATTTTCCAGGGCACTTATTTCAACAGGAATCAAATATTAGCCCCCACTGGAACTTCAAACATGAATGCTTATTTAAGCCCCAATGTACTTTTAATAGGAATATAAAAGGCAAATATTATTAAACACAGGAAAATCATAAGGTCTAGATGCATGTGTTTAGAGACTCGTGGTAATGTTGCTTTATTCTGAGTTTTACTGCAGATCTGAAAGGTGATCTATTGTGGAAAAAAAACACAAAAAACCTGTACCTTTAGTGGAAAGATCAATGACATGAAGTCAATAAACCCATGTTCTCATTTGTATCATACCCCATGACTTGTGCCTTTGGGTAAGTTACTTAATTTGCACCTCAGTTTCCAGATCAATAAAATATAGTTGTTGACATGCTATTTTCTAACACATACATCCAGTTCTTTGTCCTGTGGTGGGAAAATGTGAACTTTTGACAAATCCAGGTTTTAATCCTGATTATATTCCTTATCACCAATCACATTAGACCAATGATTAATATCTTTTATTCTCAGTTTCTTCTCTCTATAAAATGGGAATAATATTATCTGACTTCTAGAATTGTAGAGTTTAATTAGGTAATATATGTAAAGTAAATGGCATAAATTAGGCACTATATATTTGTATACATAATATACACATATATATTTGTTATCTTTATGTTGTTACTCTTTTTCTATAATTCTAAGATAGATATACTTTTTCTTGAAATGATGTGATAGTCACAGCCATATAACTGTCACTTTTATACTATACTATTCTTTAGTTAAATAATGAAGATGAAACACCTAGCAACTGGGGATATTTTTCAAGTTAATAATTTCTACGGACCTAGGTCAGAGAAATCTTTCTCAGCTGAGCTAATAAAAGCAAGGAATTAGTCTCACTCATAGGTGGGAATTGAACAATGAGAACACATGGACACAGGAAGGGGAACATCACACTCTGGGTACTGTTGTGGGGTTGGGGGAGGGAGGGGGGTTAGCATTGGGAGATATACCTAATGCTAGATGACGAGTTAGTGGTTGCAGCGCACCAGCATGGCACATGTATACATATGTAACTAACCTGCACATTGTGCACATGTACCCTAAAACTTAAAGTATGATAATAATAAATAAAAATAAATAAATAAAAGCAAGGAATTGACTCCAGTAAACAGTTCATTGCAGCATTAATAGAAATTAATTGACTGCCAGGCTTCTCTGCACACCCAAAATACCATCACCAATATCATGCTATGGATTACAATGACAAGCACTATAAGGTATTGGTAAGTACAATCTGAGGACCATGCATATGTTTCTAGAGTACGTGGAATGACTTCACATGCTTTCAAAAATGCTGTCCTATGTAGAATTTGGTCTCAGTTTTAAAGCACTTTATCTAATAAGCTATCACTGAGCCACCATATGTAGGTTAGATGTTCCTCCTCTGTACTCGTGTAACATCTATTCTTCCTCTCCCATTGCACTCTTAGCTCAGTTTATTTTAAATGCCAATAACACTCCTTAAGTTTTTACTAGACTATAAATTTCATAAAGGTAAAGGTCATAATGATCTCATTTACTACTACATCATCCGTGTTTAAAAATAATGCCAGAAGTATAGTTTAGTAAATATTCAGCAAGTAGAAGTTAAATGAAGAGGACATTGGTATGAAACTAAAGTTAGAGGCAACATAAAAAGTGTTTGGATTGGTTAAAATTTTGAAGTTGCAATATAATCTAATTTTCAATGGTACTCTTTTCATTTAAAAATTATTCTGACAGCCAGGCATGATGGCTCATGCTTGCAATCTCAGTGCTGTGGGAGACCAAGGTGGGAGGATTGCTTGTGCCAGGAGTTCCAGACCAATTTGGAAAATATAGGGAGATGTTGTCTCTACAAGAAAATAAAATGGCCAGGTGCAGTGGCTCACGCCTGTAATCCCAGTACTTTGGGAGGCTGAGGCGGGCGGATCACAAGGTCAGGAGTTCAAGACCAGCCTGGCCAACATATTGAAACCTCATCTCTACTAAAAATACAAAAAAATTAGCCAGGTGTGGTGGTGGGTGCCTGTAATACTAGCTACTCGGGAGGTTGAGGCAGGAGAATCACTTGAACCTGGGAGACGGAGGTTGCAGTGAGCCAAGATCACGCCACTGCACTCCAGCCCAGGCAACAGTTTGAGACTCCATCTCAAGATAAATAAATAAATAAAATAAAATAAGCTAGACATGCTGGTGCATGCCTATAGTCCTAACTAATCAGGAGGCTGAGACAAGAGGGTCATTTGATCCCAAGAGGTAGAGGCTGCAGTGAGCTCTGACTGTACCACTGCACTCCAGCCTGAATGACAATGTAAGTCTCTGTCTCAAAAGAATTTTATCTCTCTCTCTCTCTATATATATATATATATACACACACTCACATATGTATATATGTATATATGTGTGTGTATGTACATAAGTGTCTGTGTATATATATGTGTATGTGTATATATATATGTATATGTATGTGTTCTGAGAAAATCTCCATCACTTATTGTAAAGGAGTACAGAGGAGGAAAGTAGACAGGACACTGAACTAGGAGAATAGAATATGAGATCAAGTTTCATCTTTTCTACTTAGTGAGGCATGCAAAGGAAATGAGGATCTGCTGGGTTAAATTGCTTAATTTTTCTGAATTTTAGTTTCCTCACCTGTAAATGGAAGATGCAGATGAAATACACTCTCTTTAGATTTCAAAGGGCACTTGTGAAGCTTAGATACTATGATGTAAAAGTACTTCAAAAATTGTCAAAACTAATGCAAATGAAACATTTATTCAGAATTATGTAGGATTATTGAGACAATTAGTATAAAACACATTTTAGACTTCTCAAAGCAAGAGCATAATCTGTTTGTATAATTGCAATGTTAAAAAGCCCAATAATGATCCCCAGATATTATATAAAAGAAAATTTTCTGTTAGCCAAGGAAAGGAGTGGTATCAGAATTTTAATCAAGAAGGGACAGAAGTGTTGAGGAAGTATAAGAATATATGCTTCTGATTTTATGGCAACAAGAAAGGCCAGTACCAGAAATATTTGAAACTTACTATAAACTAGGAATTGTCATATGTAGGAAAATACTTATGCAGCTCACATTTAATGGAAGTGACAGATAGAGAAAATAGTGACAGAATTCACCCACGAGCTCTCCGGTCCTTATTATCCCAATAAACTTCATCATCCTTTCTTTCCAAATTCATTTGTATAAGCAGATATTCCATTTCCAACCTCTCAACTCTTCAACTAATAGTGAAATGATGGATAATTAATTTTGTGCCCATTTAAAGTAATTTTACTGTTAAAAATACAAATAAGGATTGTGTTTTAGGTACTTTGATCTTACATATCCAACTGTCCTTCTTACTTTATCAGTTATTATTGCACAAATAAATATATACTCATTCAGAGGTTATGTATGTATCTTAGAAACTTAAAATTCTTTCTTAGTGCATATATTCCTCTAAATAAAATATTAAACTAATGGGGTAATGAATGTGAACCAAATTTGTTAGAAACCAAGAGACAGAACTTTAAAAGTCTAGTTAACCTAATATGATAGTAGGGTATATATTTTTTTAAACTTTGTTTCGCACAGGTCATATAAGGTCAGTAAATCATGCAAATTCTGAGATAATCAAATTCAACTTCTATTTTCTATAAAGCTGAAACAGTATAAGTATATGCCACAGTGATTGATATTTGTATTTCTTCCTAGATTTAACATCATCAGATATGACATTTTCTGATTATACAGATAACATTTTATAATTCATAATGCCTTTCGAAACCCAAAATAAACTTTCTTATGTTTCTAATTAGATTAAAAATAACTTTGTTATTTGAGCTAATTTTATATTTTAGCCCCCCAAATGCAGAATATATTTTCATTTACTCACAACCCACATCCCTCTCACTCCAGATTGTAGACCGTTCTGTTCTAAATACAAACTCTCCTTTTTAATTTTTTTTCTATTTAAAAACTCTGTGCTTAAGATTTAAAAACGTGTCACAAAAATTAGTTATTCTTACTAGTAACAGATTATAGATAAAGTAGAACTGAGAAAAAGGATTCATTCAAAAAGCATTTGGAAAATACTTTGTATAGGCATGAGTCAGTATCCCTGACTACATGCAGCTTGCATTTTAAGACAATATACCATAAAAATAAAGCACAGGAAACTCGTATTTATCCTGGGGAGGGCCAACAAATGCTTTGGAGAGCAAGTTCTATTTTAGCTGCACTTTGAAAGGTGGCTATGCATCTACTAGGCAAAAAGTAGAGGTATTCACATTCCAGGGATAAAAAGTAGCTATTTCTGAGAAGGGATGCAGTACAGCAAGTTTGAAGACAAGAAATAATCTTCATGTGATTTTAACATAAGAAAGCAAAAATGAGCATGATATGACATGAGGCTAGAGTGGTAGGAAAGGACTAGAACATGAAGGCTTTTGTGGATTATATTACAGAATTTTTCTCTCATTATAAAAACCATGGGAAGCCATTGAATGGTTTTATATTTGTATCTTTTAGGGGATTAATGGCATGAATATAATCCTTTCTCTTTGCCTGGTATAGTGTGAGGTGAGACACATTGAACTGAATGGATTCACTTTAAATACGTGATCATTGACAATGAGTGTGTGTATTACTTTGTTTTTACACTGCTATAAATGACTACCTGAGACTGGGTAATTTATGAAGATAAGAGGTTTAATTGATGTACAGTTTTACAGGCTTATCAAGAAGCATTGCTAGGAGGCCTCAGGAAACTTGCTGTCATGGCAGACAGTGAAGGGGAAGCAAGCACATCTTACATGGTGGCAGAAGAGAGAGAGAGAGAGCAAAAAGGGAATCACAACACAGTTTTAAACCATCAGATTCCATTAGAAATCACTCACTATCACAAAAACAGCAAGAGGGAAGTCTGCCACCATAGACTCAATTACCTCCCACCAGGCCCCACCTCTGACACCTGGGGATTACAATTTGAGATGAGATTTGGGTTGGGACACAGAGCCAAACCATGTCATACCACTCCTAGCCTCTCCCAGATCTCACGTCTTTTTCATGTTTCAAAACCAATTATGCCTTCCCAATAATCCCTCAAAGTCTTAACTAATTCCAGCATTAACTCAAAAGTCCAAGTCCAAAATCTCATCTGAAATAAGGCAAGTCCCTTCTGCCTATGAGCCTGTAACATCAAAACAAGTTAGTTACTTCCAAGATACAATACGGGTAGAGGCAATGGGTAAATGTTCCCATTCCCAAAGTAAGAAATTGGCCAAAACCAGGGTCTACAGTTACCATGCAAATGCAAAACCCAGCAGGACAGCCATCAAATATTAAAGCTCCAAAATGGTCTTTCTTGACTCCATGTCTCACATCCAGAGCACACTGATATAAGGGGTGGGCACCCAAGCCCTTGGAAAGCTCCACCTCTGTGGTTCTGCAGAGTAGAGTCCCCATGGCTGCTTTCATGGGATGGCATTGAGTACCTGCAGCTTTTCGAGGTGCACAGTACAAGCTGTCAGGGGATCCACCATTTTGGGGTCTGGAGGACAGTGGCCCTCTTCTCACAGCTCAACTAGGCAGTGCCCTAGTGAGGACTATGTGTGGGGCTCCAACCCCACATTTCACCTTCACATTGCCCTAAGACAGGTTCTTCATGAGGGCTTTGCCCTGTAGCCAACTTCTGCCTGGACATCCAGGCATTTCCATACATCCTCTGAAATCTAGGTGGAGGCTCCCACACCTTAACTATTGCCTTCTGTGCACCTGCAGGCCCAACACCACATAGAAGCTATCAAGGTGTGGGGCTTGCACCCTCTGAAGCAATAGTCTGAGCTGTACCTTTGTCCCTTTTAGCCACAGCTGGAGCTGGAGTGGCTGGAATACAGGGTGACATATCCTGAGGCTGCACAGAGCAAATTGTCCCTGACCCTGGCCCATGAAACAATTTTTTCCTCCTAGGCCTCTGGGCCTGTGATGGAGTGGGCTACTGTGAAGGTTTCTGATATGCCCTGGAGACATTTTTTTCCCATTGTCTTGGCTATTAACACTCTGCTTCTCTTTAGTCATAGAAATTTTTGTAGCCAGCTTGAATTTCTCTCCCAGGAAAAGGGTTTTTCTTTTCTACTACATGGTCAGGCTGCAAATTCCCCAAAATTTATGCTCTGCTTCCCTTTTAAACATAAGTTCTAATTTCAGACCATCTCTTTGTGAACACATATGACTGTACACTATTAGGAGCAGCCAGGCTATTTCTTGAATGCTTTGCTATTTAGAAATTTCTTCCAGCAGATACCCTAAATTACCTCTTTCAAGTTTAAAGTTTCAGAGATCTCTATAGCAGGGGCAAAATTATGCCAGTCTCATTGCTGAAGCATAACAAGTGTGACCTTTGCTCCAGTTCCCAATAAGTTCCTCATCTCAATCTAAGACCACCTCAACCTGGACTTTATTGTCCATGTAACTATCAGCATTTTGGTCAAAACCATTCAACAAGTCTCTAGGAAGTTCCAAACTTTCCCACATCTTCCTGTATTCTTTTGAGCCCTTCAAACTCTTCCAAACTCTGTTCATTACCCAGTTCCAAAGTTGCTTCCACATTTTCAGGTATCTTTAGAGCAGTGCCCCACTCTCCTGGTACCAATTCTCTGTATTAGTTCATTTTCACAGTGATATAAATAATTACCTGAGACTGGATAATTTATGAAGAAAAGTGGATTGACTGACTCACAGTCCCATAGCCTTAACAGAAAGCATGGCTAGGAGGCCTCAGAAAACTTACAATCATGGCAGAATGTGATGAGGAAGCAAGGACCTGCTTCACTTCATTGTGGAGAGAGAGAGAGAGAGAGAGAGGCAACAGAGAAAGAGAGTGAAAGAAGAGGGAAGCACTAAACAGATTTAAACCATCAGATCTCATGAGAATGCACTCACTATCACAAGAACAGCAAGGGATAATCCCACCCCCCTGAATCAATTAACTCCCACCAAGCCCCTCACCCAACACATGGAGATTAAAACTCAAGATGAGATTTGGGTGGGGACACAGAGCCAAACAATATCAGTGTGCATTTCACACTGCCCAGCAATATGATTATATTTTCCAGGCCCATACTCTCTTCTACTTACTACGGACTATTTCAAAGTTTCTTTTCACCTCAAATCTTCAAAATCTCACCACATTGCCACTCTCAGTTAATTCTCTTGCCTCTCATTTCAGTAAGAAATTGGAATAAATCAGGAGAGAATATCCAGCCCCTTCTACCACATCTACCAAGCTGATTGGCAACTGTGCACCAAAGGGACTCATAATTTAATAATATCATACAAAACAAGAAAGGCTTTACTGATAAAAGCTACAAAATGGTGGTCAACAAGAAGAGTATCAAGAGAAGCATATGACGTTCATAGTCCTTTCATCATCTCATGGAGAGGCATAATGAGATTTAAGTAATCTATAAGACATGCAGCAGATTTTTATTCCAGTGTAATGACACTGACCACTCTTGCTCTCCAATTTTATAGGGTACAATAGAAAGAATTTTAAAATTACCCCCAGTAACCTTCATCCTTCTATAAGCCCTTTCTCCTGAAGTACGGGTAAAACCAGTGAATGTGATGAAGGATCCCTTCTGTGATCATATTATTAATAAATTATATAATCTTATCCTGAGTTTGCCTGATGTAAGCAAGTAAGCTCTTCGAAAGCAGAGAGCTTTCTTTGCCTTTCTATTTCATAGAATAGGAAGTCAGAGAGATATTCAAAAGCAGAGAGCTTTCTCTAACTTTGTTTCATAGAATAGGAAGTCAGAGAGACATTCTACAACTGGCCTGGAAGAAAGCAAACATCCATTGTTGTCAACTGCCTATGAGTTCCACATGACAAATAACTGCCAACTGCCTTTAGGAGAAGAGAGTGGTCCCTGAAAAACAAATAACAGGAAGATGGTGCTACAGTTTTATAATCACAAGGGAGTAAATTCAGCCAGCAAATAATGAGCTAGAAAGAGGCCACCAAGTTCCAAATAAGAACCAGACCCTGAAAAACAGCTTGATTTCAGCCTAGAAAGACCCTGATCAGAGAATCCAGTCATGCCATGCCCTTATTTCTGACCAACAGAAACTGAGATAATACATTACTATTGCTTTAATCCACTAAGTCTGTGCCCATTTTATTATGCAGGAATTGAAACTAATACACATGTTGGTACCTAGAAATGAACTACTGTCATACCAAATATGTGTAAATGTGGAAGTGGCTTTGAAACATGAAAATGGAGAAAGGCTAGCAGAATTTTCAGGAGCATGGAAGAAAAAAGTCTAGATTACCCTAAATACGCTTTTAATACAATTATGAGGTTAAAGATGCAAGAGAAAATTATGAACATACTTTTGGAAACTGGAGGAAGGTAGATGATTGTTATGTAGTGGTAGAATGTTTAGCAAAATTGGGTCCTGCAGTTATGTGGAAAGCAGAACTTGTAAGTGATGAGCATAGATATAAAGTGTATTAGGCCATACACACATTGCAATAAATACCTGAGACTGGGTAATTTATTTAAAAAAAAGAGATTTTATTGGCTCACAGCTCTGCAGGCTATATAGGAAGCATAGCAGCATCTGCTTCTGGGGAGGCCCCAGGAAACTTACAATCATGGCTGAAGATGAAGGTGGAGCAGGCACATCACATGGTGAAAGCAGGAGCAAGAAAGAAATGGGGGAGACAGCACACACTTTTAAGCAACTAGATGGTGTGAGAACTCAGTCACTATCACAAGGACAGCACCAAGAGGATGGTGCTAAACCATTCATGTAAAATCCATCCCCATGATCCAATAAGTTCCCACCATGCTCCTTTTCTAACATTATGGATTACATTTCAACATTTGGGTGTGGATACACATCTAAACTACATCATATAGCTAAGGGGATTTCTGAGAATAGTTGTGAAGGTGTTGCCTAGTTTCTTTTGGTTGCTTACAATAAACATGAGAAAAGAGAGAGATAAATTGAGGATACGTTAAACAAAAATAAAACAGCATCTGATGATATTTTAAATTCTTAGCTTCTCAAGATGGCAAAAGGTTCTAAAAGCAAAACATAGCTGTTGAAAGTGTGGCATAGAGGAAAGCTGAGTCTCTATGATTTTTTACTAAAACCTCAGGAAGGTTAAAAGATAAAAATATTCAGTCAGATAAAAACCTCTTGAAACAGTTTAAGATTATGAGTTGGAGCCTCTCTTAATCACACCAGAGGTCCTCTAGAAAGCTTAAGAAGACTATGTCTCAATCATTTGAGCAGAAGCTAAAAATATGTAAGAAATTATTTCAGAAAGATATGTGGGCCAGGTTTTAAAATTTATTTTATTTTTTTTATTTTTTATTTATTATTATTATTATTATTATTTTTTGAGATGGAGTCTCGCTCTGTTGCCCAGGCTGGAGTGCAGTGGCACGATCTCAGCTCACTGCAAGCTCCACCTCCAGGGTTCACGCCATTCTCCTGCCTTGGCCTCCCGAGTAGCAGGGACTACAGGCGCCCACCACCACGCCCAGCTAATTTTTTTTTTTTTTTTTTGTATTTTTAGTAGAGACGGGGTTTCACCATGTTAGCCAGGATGGTCTCGATCTCCTGACCTCGTGATCCGCCCGCCTCGGTGTCCCAAATTGCTGAGATTACAGGTGTGAGCCACCACGCCTGGATTTTTTTTTTTTTCTGTTGGAGTGAAACCCAGAGCAATTCATGCAAGATCCACATGGTTCTTGAGTATAATATATCAACAGAAACACTGCCAGGTATATCTGAAAGACAAAAGGAATACAAAATAAAAGAAAGCTGTCAGATCCTCAAAATTCTACTGGCAATGAGCAGGTTAATAAAACCACTGGATGCAAAAATATACCAAATTTCATAAAAAGAAGAGGGACTCAGAGAGTAGCATCAAGAGCCCAGAAAAATCCAAAAGCCCAGTGAGTCTATGCAAGAAGGCAGGGAGGAGAACCAAGAGTGTAAGGAAATTATTTCCAGGTTTTAAAACCCAATCAAGAAAAATCCAGCATTTGCCTGGTTGGATATCCAACTGCTTAGACACATGACTCCTTTTTACCTTTTTTTCCCCCACTTTTTGAATCAATGTCTAAAGCTATTTTCCTATGCTTGTTCCACCATTGTATGTTGGGAGTAGTGAGGAAAAACAACTTGTCTCATTTCCTTTGTTGGTCCTCGTATGGAGAAGATTTTCATGCCCAGGAGCCTTATTTCCACCTGAGCACATAAATTACATAATAAGATTTTGAACTTTGAGCTAAGATAATCTAGGTGAAATTTTTCAACTTGAGCTAATGAACTACTAGCACTTGGATGCAGATGATGAAATTTTGAATTGGAGCTCATACTGGGAAAAAAGGTTGAGACACTTAGTATGGAGCAAATGTATTTTGCATGTGGGAGGGAACTATATCATGGAAACCAGAATCCATACTGTGGTAGGCAGAATTATCTAGGTCCCCTGATGTCAGTCTTGTGATTCTCTTATATGATGTGGAAAAATGAATTTTGCAGATGTAATGAAGTTTACTAATAAGTTGACCTCAAGAAAGATCTGAGTGGGCTTAACCTAACCAGATGAGTCCTTTAAAAGCAGAGGGATTCCTGGCCAATTTCAAGAGTAGGAGAGGAGCATGTCAGAAAGATTGGAGTAGCCTGAGAACATTCAGCTCAAGAGAGATATCCCATTGCTAGCACTAAAGATGGAGAAGGTTACACAGAAAGGATCTGAAAGCTACATATAGCTTCCAGGTGACAGCCAGCAAGGAAACAATGACCTCAGCTGAAAGAAAGTAAATTATGTCAACCTCAATGAGCTTAGAAGTGAATTCTTCCCTAGAGCCTCCAAATAAGAACATAGTTCTACTGACATATTTATGTTCACCTTGTAAAATCCTAAGGAAATAATCTATGGGAGCCCACCCAGACTTTCAACCTACAAAAAAGTATGAGATAATATATATGCTGTTGTTTTAACCTTCTAAGTGAGTGGTAATTTGTTAAGTGGCACTAAACATGAGAGACACCTTATCTAATGAAAATATATTCAGACTACTGGAGTGCCAAGATGTCTAGGCTTAGGTGACAACAGTTTGAAAGAGGTATCTTGGAAAGGGAACTGCCTCGTATCTACATCTTTGCAAAGATGTAGCCCCTTCTGTTTGAGTTACAGAATGGAAAAGAAAGCTTCAGTCACCTGTGAACTGAGTTCAAATGCAGCCCATCCTGCTGGGAGATGAAGTTGATCAGCAGAACCAGCTTCATCATTGCCCAGGCATCCCATATTGCATTCTTAGGGTAATTTTCAGACATTCCTTCATGTCTCACCACATCTATCTGCATCTATTCAAATATAATCTACCTTTCCTTAACATTACTATGTTCAACTATTCTGTTCTCCTTTCTAAGACCAGATACTCCACTTGTGCACTCTAGCCCATGTAACGTAAACTACTCAAGCATATCACTCTAGCAATATTCCCACTTCTCTTAATTATCAAACTTTCCTCTACTGGATTATTCTCATTAGTATGCAAACATCCTGTTAATCCTATAATCTTAAAAAATACAGTAGTATGTAGGGATACATTCCACGATTCCCAGTGAATGCCTGAAACCACCACCAATATTGATTCTTATGTATAGTATATATTTTTTCTATACATAATACATACCTACAATAAAGTTTAATTTTATAAATTAGGCACAGTAAGAGATTAACATCAATAACTAATAATAAAATAGAACAATTTTAACTATATGAATATCACTGCTCTTGCACTTCAAGGCCATTATAAAGTAAAATAAGAGTTACTTGAACACAAGTACTGAAATACCAGACAATCAATCTGATAATGGAGATGACTACTAAATGACTAAAGGAGGGGTACCATAGACAGCATGGAGTAGCTGAACAGAGTGGTAATTCACATTCTGAGCAGGATGGAGCAGGATGGCACAAGGCTTCATCATGCTACTTAGAAAAGTATGCAATTTAAAAATTTATAATTTTTTTCTTTCTGGATTTTTCCAGTTAGAGTTTTTGGGCCATGGTTGACTATAGGTAATGGAAACCATGGAAAGCCAAATCTCAGATAAGGGGGATCTACTGCAAAATAAAATGAAATAAAGTCTTTTTTATCTCTCATATTTCTGTAGCTACTAGCTGTTTTTTTGTTTGTTTCTTTGTTTGTTTTTTATCTACCTTGCTCATGCAACACTCCTTGAACAAATAGTTGATACCTTGCTCTCTACAAATGCACTCCATATTTTCTTGGACTCATTTCAATCAAAATTTTGCCACTCCACTCTTTTCAGGACTGTCAATGACCTCTATAATGTTAAATTCAATAGCCACTTTCAGTCTATCTTACTTGACCTATCAGTAGCATCTAACACAGATGATAAAGTGTTCTTCTTCTATCTCACAACCACTTCTTTTCAGCCACATTGATGGCTCTTCCTTATCTACTCAACAATTAAATATTGCAATATTTCAGTATTATTTGTTTTTGTTTTTCTTCCTGGAGCAGATCCTGGTTAAATACCAATAAGAACACAGAGAAATAAAGCATGGAAAGAAAACAACTAGGCCAGGTACGGTGGTTCATGCCTGTAATCCCAGCACTTTGGGAGGCCGAGGTGGGTAGATCACCTAAGATCAGGAGTTCGAGACCAGCCTGACCAACATAGAGAAACCCTGTCTCTACTAAAAATACAAAAAAAAAATTAGCCGGATGTGGTGACACATCCCTGTAATCCCAGCTACTTGGGAGGCTGAGGCAGGAGAATCACTTGAACCTGGGAGGCAGAGGTTGCGGTGAGCCGAGATCATGCCATTGCCCTCCAGCCTGGGCAACAAGAGCAAAACTCTGCCTCAAAAAAAAAAAAAAAAAAAAAAAAAGAAAGAAAAAAACTAATGTAGGGTGAGTTATCAAACAAGTTTTTATTGTATCTTAGAGGAAGCTTATCCCAGTAGGCATTATGAGAGGCAGTGTAGAACATACACCATGTTGTTGTCCCACATAAGGCGTGAATGAAAAAAGATATTTCACAACTCTTATCATGGACTGGAAGGTGCTCCTGAGTGAATTTTTAGTTTTCTGTGTGTAAGGAAAGATTAGACTTTAGTGTCCAGAGGTAATCTTTAAAAGGAGACAAAGGAAAGATGCATAGTTGCTGACCATTGGAAAGTGGGCTGGTATACACAAAAATTATAAATGTCAAGGGGATATGGGGAGGGCACTGATACCATCAGCTATTCTTGAGATATGGTTTTAGGACCCTTAGTCTTAGGACCCTTTCTATTTTGTCACTACCAAGTCCCTTTGTGACCCTAACCAGTCTCATGGATGTAAATATATTCTGCATACTGTTGACTCCTAAATTTATATCTCTAGCATGGACTTCTCTCTTTACCTTCAGACTCATATATCCAACTACTTCCTTGACATCTCTAGTTGAATGTATAATCTGCATGTCAAATTAATATGTATCAACCAAACTTATGCTGTTTCTCTCCAAAATTATTTCTTCTTCATTCTTCTGTGTATCACTAATACTGTACCACCAACTACCTACTTGCTCAGGCTAAAATCCTGGCATTATTCTTGATTTTCCTTATTCATACCCCAGTTTGGTGATCTCCCAAATAATTTGATCTTCCAAATGGTCTATTTCTGCTTTTGCCCCCTGCTTCAAGTCTATTCTTGACACTGCAGCCAGGATGGTCTTCTAAAAATATAGGTCAAATCATGTCATTTCTATGCTCAAGATTCTCCAGTGGTTTTCTATCTCACTCAGAGAAAAACAAAAGAAATTTACATTAATTTTAATATCTTACATAATTGTATTGCCCTAATGTTACTATTATTTACCAGATACAAATTCAAATGTGTTTGAGACCATAATTTATGCTGTTAAGCCTTATCCAATCATACTTCCAAAAGCTATGTTTTCTTCCTTAGGCTCACTCAAACATACTATGTTCTATATACATTTTTAGCAGTAATTGTTATCCATCTTTACTTATATTAATTTCAATATAAACTATTATTGCTCTACATTTATACTTTCAGATGTCAGATAATGATAGTTGTGTACATTTAGGAATTCTTAGAAACACAGTAGTTCAACACTTCATTTACAAAGGAAGACATTGGGATCTAGAAAAACCAAGTAACTTCCTATAGTTGATAGTAGACCTGCACTTAGAAACCTGGCTTCATGTCTTTTTTGCTCTTCTTTTCACTGTTGCCTACCAAGTCAATTATGCTATATCCATAAGAACAAAAGAGAAAACAGAAAACAAGCAAAAACTGAGTCTCAAAAACCATGTTTTTGTTTCATTGTTTGTTTTTAAACAAACATGGGTCTTGCAGTGTTGCCCAGGTTGGTCTCAAACTTCTGGCCTCAAGCAATCTGCCTGCCTTGACCTTCCAAAGTGCTGGGATTACAGGAGCCCTTGCACCTGGACAAAACTCTATTTTATTTGTTTTTTCTTACTGTTAATTGACACATAATTGAACATATTTATAGGGTACGCTGTGATGCTTTCATACATGTAACCACTCTGTGTATTTAGCATATTTATCACCTTTAATATTTATCATTTCTTTATGGTGAGAACATTCAAAATCTTCTCTTTTGGCTATTTTGAAATACGCAATATTGTTAACTATAGTAACCCTACTAGGCAATAGAACACCAGAGCTTATTAATAACTTTTTATCTGGCTGGGCATGATGACTCATGCCTGTAATCCCAGCACTTATGGAGGCTCAGGTATGGTGGCACACCCCTGTAATCCCAGCTGCTTGGGAGGCTGAAGCACGAGAATCGCTTGAACCCGGCAGGTAGAGATTGCAGTCAGCCCACTCCAGCCTGGGTGACACAGTGAGATTCTGTCTCAAAAAAAAAAAAAAAAAAAAAAATGATTGTACTCATTTACATTCCCACCAAAAATAAAGGTTCCCATTTTTCTGAATCTATGTCAGCGTTTGGTGTTTTTTTTTTTTTATAATGGCTATTCTGAGTGAGGTGACATTTTACTGGGGATTTGATTTTTATTTCCCTGATAATTAGTGATTCAAAAACCCTTTTTTGAGCCCTGCGATCAGGAATTTATTCAAAGTAGAGCTAAAATAGCTAATAATTCACAGGAAAAAATAAATGATTTGATAGAGACAGAGTCTGAGTATAGACGAAAAATTAATGCCACATTTAAATTTGTTGATTTCTCATACTATAGAGGATTAGAAAGTGTAACATAAGGTAATTATTTCTAAAGTTAATATTGAAGGAAGAAACTAGCTATATTCTCTGATATTTTGACTGTGTCCAGTAAATTATAAGAGGTCGAGATATGACCTACAGTATTCTTGGATCTATGTCACAACAAATCATGTTTAATGGGATTCTTAATACAGCATATATTTTTTCTTCAAAAGGTGACTTCTGTAGAATCATCCTCATATTGTATCTCTTGCCAGTCAACATGTGAACTTTAGAAATTAATCACACATCATTGCTGAGGCTTTCATTTCTATCAAAATATTTTCTACAAAAACAAAAGTGGTAAATAATTTAACAGTTGGAGAAACTAAAGCGGATTTTCAGCAAAAGCTCTCCTTTGCCTGACCCTTTGATGTGGAGAAGAGCAGGAATAAGATGAGAGTTTAGTCAGTGTAACTTCCTCAATAAATCTACCTATATTCAGCAGCATAAAGTACTTTTTGAAATCCTCTAAACATAGCAGTCAGAAAAAAATGAAAGGAGAAAAGCATAAAGCAGCAAGAAATTAGATTAACTATCCCAGTGAAGGTACCCTAGAGGGAAAATAATTTGATTTTTCACAAACATACCCAGCACAAAAGATGAATAAAAACTACCTGCTTTTATTGTATTCCTGCCTGCTAGGATGGCTTAATGCTTTGCATATTTCATAGCTATTGGTCTTCAGAAAGAAACCTGTTAGAAATATAGTGCAGTTTGGGGTTTATATCCAGTGATACTCTGAATATATCAGAGGGTAGAGACAGGAAAGTAATAAAGGAAATTTAAAGTCCAGCGGGTGCTTGATGGTTTCTAGGTAGTTAGCATCCTAATTTAGAAATTAATTGGAAGATTAAGCAGGAAATGTTCATTGCCAGCTTTTTCATTTATTTGTTTGCATTTTTCCTCTGCCAGAGTACTTAATAAAGATGAATAACTCTTAAATATGAAATTATGATAACAAATGGATACCACATAGTATTACTAAAGAGAGTAAGATCTGAATTGTTTTCCCCTTCAGAACTTAATAGTACCGTCTTTTTAATAAGCAGAAACAAACAAACAAACAAAAATGAACAAAACCAAGTCTCTGGGGTGTCTTTTATATGAGTAATTTAAAGGTTTTATATAGGCTTTGCAGTAGTTACTCCTGAACATTCCATTTTTTCACCTCCTTTCTTACCATTTGATTTATGGCAGAGATCTCAGCAGCAACAACGGAAGCCAAAAGAAAAATAAAATAAAATAATATCATCAAATGCTGGGAGAAAAATAGCTTTTAATCTAGAATTGAGTACCCTGAAAGTTATCTTTCAATAATGACAACTATACTTTCATATAGATAAGAACTAATACAGCTAACCACCAGTAAACCTTTCACTAAAGCAAGTTTTAAAGAATGTAATTTGAGGAAGGGAAATGACAGAAAAAGTTCTTGATTATAAAAGTGAAAAATAATAAAAGAGGTTGCTAGTAGATTACATGTAGATTAATCAAATTTTTCAAATAAAAGAATGACAATTTTGTGATTTATTTTAAAGTTTGTTTTGAAGTGGATTGTTTGTTTTATAGGTGTTATAAGAATTTTGCATGATTGAGGCAGAAAGTCAAGTTTATAATTTGTTAAGAATGCATGGTAAAACTTCAAGAGTAACCATTAAAATAAGAGACATTTCAGTAATATAAAAAGGCAAGGTATCCAACAGAATATATTATTGGCACAAATATCAATTAACAAAAGCTCAATGACAAAAAATATGTTTTTAAATATGCATTTAGAAATTATGCATACTCTCCTATGTTACTCATAAATCAAAGAATTTATAATGAAATATTAAACATATATCTGAACAAGAATGATGATGTAAGTAAAAATAGATGGGATGTAACAGCGGTAGTATATAAAGTAAAACTACTGACTGTAAAGGCTTATATAATAGAACAAGAATCAGCAAATATTTCTGTAAAGTGCTGGAGAGTATACATTTTTGACTCTGCAGGCCAAAAGATCTCTTCCACAGTTCTTCCACTCTGCCTCAACTCAAGAAGCCGTACATATTATGTGAAGATGCGAAGGTTGCTCTGTCCCAATTAAATTTTATGAACATTGAAATTTGGATTTCATATAATTTTCATGTGTTCCAAAATGTTATCCCTTTCTTATTTTTCATGCATTTTATAAAATAAAAATCATTCTTAGATCACAAGCCATAGAAATATAGGCGTCGAGCTAAATTTGGCTCATGACCTATAGAGACTTGTAACAGAAGAAATACTAAAAATGAATGGGCTAAGTGTTTAAGAATTTAGGGGGGAAAAGCATCAGCTAAGATAATTTTATTAATGAATTTCTGCTTGTCAAAATATAATTACCTTCTGCTACTTTTTAAAATCTTATTTGAAGTATAGTTAAAAGCTCCAAATCTATTCTCCATACCCCTTACCTTCTCTCTCCTGCTTTATTTTATTTCTCTATTATTATTATTATTGTTATACTTTAAGTTCTGGGGTACATGTTTAGAACGTGCAGGTTTGTTACATAAGTATACACGTGCCATGATGGTTTGCTGCACCCATCAACCTGTCATCTACATTAGGTATTTCTCCTAATGCTATCCCTCCCCTACTCCCCAACCCCCCAACAGGCCCCAGTGTGTGATGATCTCCTACCTGTGTTCATGTGTTCTCATTGTTCAACTCCCACTTATGAGTGAGAACATGTGGTGTTTGGTTTTCTGTTCTTGTGTTAGTTTGCTAAGAATGATGGTGTCCAGCTTCATCCATGTCCCTACAAAGGACATGAGCTCATCCTTTTTTATGGCTGCATAGTATTCCATGGTGTATATGAGCCAAATTTTCTTTATCCAGTCTATCACTGATAGGCATTTGGGTTGGTTCCAAGTCTTTGCTATTGTGAAGAGTGCTGCAATAAACATACGTGTGCATGTGTCTTTATAGTAGAATGATTTATAATCTTTTGGGTATATACCCAGTAATAGGATTGCTGGGTCAAATGGTATTTCTAGTTCTAGACCCTTCAGGAATCACCACACTGTCTTCCACAATGGTTGAACTAATTTACACTCCCACCAACAGTGTAAAAGTGTTCCTATTTCTCCACATCCTCTCTAGCATCCGTTGTTTCCACGATATTGATTCTTTCCTTAAGTTGATAAGCAACTTCGGCAAAGTCTCAGGATACAAAATCAATGTGGAAAAATCAGAAGCATTCCTATACACCAATAATAGACAGAGAGCCAAATCATGAGTGAATCCCTATTCACAATTGCTACAAAGAGAACAAATTACGTGGGAATACAACTTACAAGGGATGTGAAGAACCTATTCAAAGAGAACTACAAACCACTGCTCACAGAAATAAGAGAGGACACAAACAGATGGAAAAACATTCCATGCTCGTGGATAGGACGAATCAATATTGTAAAAAATGGCCATACTGCCGAAAGTAATTTATAGATTCAATGCTATCCCCATCATGCTACCACTGACTTTCTTCAGAGATTTAGAAAAAACTACTTTAAATTTCATATGGAACAAAAAAGAGCCCTATAGCCAAGACAATTCTAATCAAAAAGGACAAAGCTGGAGGCATCACGCTACCTAACTTCATACTATGCTACAAGGCTACAGTAACCAAAACAGCACGTTACTGGTACCAAAACAGATATATAGACCAATGGAACAGAACGGAGGCCTCAGAAATAACGCCACACATCTACAACCATCTGATCTTTGACAAACTTGACAAAAACAAGCAACGGGAAAATGATTTCTTATTTTATAAATGATGTTGGGAAAACTGGCTAGCCATATGCAGAAAACTGAAACTGGACCCCTTCCTTACCCCTTATACAAAAATTAACTCGAGATGGATTAAAGACTTAAAGGTAAGACCTAAAATCATAAAAACCCTATAAGAAAACCTAGGCAATACCATTCAGGACAGGGGCATGGGCAAAGACTTCATGATTAAAACACCAAAAGCAATGGCAACAAAAGCCAAAATTGACAAATGGGATCTAATTAAACTAAAGAGCTTCTGAACAGCAAAAGAAACTATCATTAGAGTGAACAGGCAACCTACAGAATGGGAGAAAATTTTTGCAATCTATCCATCTGACAAAGGTCTAATATCCACAATCTACAAAGAACTTAAACAAATTTACAAGAAAAAAAAAAAACAACCCCATCAAAAAGCAGGCAAAGGATATGAATAGACACTTTTCAAAAGAAGAAATTTATGTGGCCAACAAACATATGAAAAAATGTTCATCATCACTGGTCATTAGAGAAATGCAAATCAAAACCACAATGAGATACCATCTTCCACCAGTTAGAATGGCGATCATTAAAAAGTCAGGAAACAACAGATGCTGGAGAGGATGTGGAGAAATAGGAATGCTTTTACACTGTTGGTGGGAGTGTAAATTAGTTCAACCATTGAGTGGATGACACTGTAATGATTCCTCAAGGATCTAGAACCAGAAAAATCATTTGACCCAGCAATCCCATTACTGGGTATATACCCAAAGGATTATAAATCATTCTACTATAAAGACACATCCATACAAATGTTTATTGCCGCACTGTTCACAATAGCAAAGACTTGGAACCAACCCAAATGCCCATCAATGATAAACTGGATAAAGAAAATGTGGCACATATACAACATGGAATAGTATGCAGCCATAAAAAAGGATGAGTTCATGTCTTTTGCTGGGACATGGGTGAGGCTGGACACCATCATTCTTAGCAAACTAACACAAGAACAGAAAACCAAACACCACATGTTCTCACTCATAAGTGGGAGTTGAACAAAGAGAACACATGGACACAGGGAGGGGAACATCACACACTGAGGACTGTCATGGGGTGGGGGGCTAGGAGAGGGATAGCATTAGGAGAAATACCCAATGTAGATGACAGGTTGATGGGTGCAGCAAACCACCATGGCACGTGTATACCAATGTAACAAACCTGCATGTTCTGCACATGTATCCAAGAGCTTAAAATATAATTTTAAAAAGGAAAAAAATGTTTTTGATTTTCTTAAAATTTTTGAGACTTGTTTTGTGGCCTATCATATGATCTGTCTTAGAGAATGTTCCATATGTTGATGAGAAGAATGCATATTCTACAGGTGTTGGGAGATTGTTCTGTAAATACTTGTTAAGTCTACTTATTTTAGGGTATAGTTTAAGTCCATTGTTTCTTGGTTGACTTTTTTTTTTTCCTGAAGATCTGTCTAGTATTGTAAGTGGAGTATTAAAGTCCCCCACTATTATTGTGCTGCTATCTATCTCATTTCTTAGGTCTAGTAGAAATTGTTTTATAAATTTGGGGCTCCAGTGCTAGGTACATATGAATTTAGGATTGTAATTTCTTCCTGCTGTACAAATTATTTTATCTTTATATACTGTTCTTGTCTTCTTTTTTTACTGTTTTTGCTTGAAAGTCCGTTTTTTTTCTGATATAAGAATAGCACTTCTGCTCACTTTGGGTTTCCTTTTGTGGGGCGTATATTTTTTCACCCCTTTACTTGAAGTTTATATGAGTCCTTATGTGTTAGGTGAGTCTCTTGAAGACAGCAGATACTTGGTAGATTTTTATCCATACTGCTATGCTGTATCTTATCTTTTAAGTGGAGCATTTAGGCCATTTACATTCAGAATGAATATTGAGATGTGAGGCAGTATTCTATTCATCATGTTAGTTGTTTCCTAGTTACCTTTTTTTAACTGTGATATTGTTTTATAGATCCTGTGAGATTTATGCTTTAAGGATTGGGTCATATCAAGCTTTTGTCTCAACATTTAGAACTCCTTTTAGAATTTCTTGTAGAGCTGATTTGGTAGTGACAAATTTCTTCAGCATTTGTTTGTTTGAAAAAGACTTTACCTCTCCTTCATTGATGAATCTTGGTTTTACTGGATACCAAATTCTTAGCTAACAATTATGTTGTTTAAGGAAACTAAAGATATGACCTCAATCCCATCTGGCTTTTAAGGTTTCTGCTGAGAAGTCTGCTGTTAGTCTGATACGCTTTCCTTTTTAGGTTATCTAAGCTTTTGTCTCACAGCTCTTAAAATTGTTTCCTTCATGTTGACTTTAGATAGCATGATGACTATGTGCCTTGGTGATGATCATTTTGCAATGATTTTCCCAGAAGTTCTTTGAGCTTCTTTTATTTGGACATCTAGATCTCTAGCAAGGCCAGAAAGTTTTCTTCAATTATTTTCTCATATAAATTTTCTAAACTTTTAGACTTTTCTATCTCAGAAACATCAATTATCCTTAGGTTGTAATTTATTTTAAATTTCTTTAAGGTACTTTTACCTTTCTCTGGTATCTCCTTGAGTAGCTTAATTATCAACCTTCTGAAGTCTTTATCTAGCATTTCAGAATTGTCATCTTGGTTTAGATCTATTGATGGGGAACACTTATTATACTGCAGAGTTTGTATGAGTTCATTTCTCAGACCACCTATACTGTAATCATCTTTGTCATTATAACATATAATATAGATTCTTTGTCCAGACACCAAGCATGCCCAATCAAAATCTCAGAGAGGAGAGGACTGAAACTGCTCTTTTTAACAAGCTGTCCAAATGATATGATGCATGTATACCTAATTTTGAGAACCATAACAATAGAGGGTAGTTAAGTCTTGAAAATTAGCCTTTTGTTAAGCTCTACTTTTTCCCTTCATGCTATTACTTAAGTTTTGCCTAACTTTAGAGAGTTCTTAACTTAGAAGGGCTACCAGTCGGTTCATCATTAGTATAGTTGTCAAAGGAAGCTTTTTGACAGCCCCTTACTAGATCAACTACAGGTTTGAAGAATACCTCATACCCATACTGCTTCTACCAAAAAACACACCACTTCCCCACCAACCATAGCCTCTGCTGGGGGCTGCAAATCTATTAGATTAATTTCTTAAGGAAATCCTTGATGATTTGTCCCTTGATTAGGTTAAAATATGATATTGCACAGGATAATTAATGTATTTGGTTAATGTTCTAATTTTCAGAGAGAAGGGCCCTGATGGTGTGAGACACAGATAAATTCTAATAGAGAAGAACAGAGGAAAGATCTGCAACATTGTATTACTTCACATGGAAAGCCAGAAGAATCAAGAGATTACACAACATCCATATATGGTGATATTTTTGATAAGGGAAGAAGTGTCAAAAAGCCAAAAATATATGTGTGAGATTCACCAAAAGAGAGGAAGATAATAAAACAAAATATGCCTTATTCAAAGCTGTGAGATATTATTACTAAGGAATTCACCACATTTATTCAAAATGCCATCTCAGCATCATGTATCCCTATATTTTGTTTAAATTTTGAACCTAAACAAGTTTTCTAGCTATTTCAAATGTTTTGCATACTTCTGTGCACTTGTAATTTAAATTTTACAGTTTCAAACGTGAAGTTAAAAAAAACCTAAGGTAATGTACCAAAATGATCTATTATATTCAGGGCCATATGAAATTATTCAAATTAACCTTTTTGAATGTTGAACATTTTTGTTTTAGATTAGATTAGGTTGTGCTTAAAGGATAGCCCAGTTGAATAGCAGGTAAAATCAGGCATTAAGGTACAAACCTTTGAAATTTGTTCTTTTCAAGAGGTTCAAAAAAGCTTCATAAATCTCTCTTTATGGGGAAAAATATCAAATTTATTTAAGAACACTAAGAACTCTCAATTGTACATTTCAAGCCAGAAATATAATATGTTTCTTGCTGATAAAATTGCTTAAGTAACTCCTAAAATTATTATCTTCTCTTGGAAATCTCAGCTTATGCACATATATATACTATTGTCTTTCTTCTCTAAAGTTATTATGTAGCAGAATTTAAAAGCACTGATAAGGAAAAGTGTCTGTTTAGGTACATTCTGTGTCCATACTTGCTGTTCTATTTTCTTCAAGATGTTAAAATTAATCATTGATTAATAAGTTGTTGGTGCCTTACCCTGTGCTCTGTATACTTGTAGTAACTGAAAGAAGATTTGGAGTGGGAGTTGAAGCTCAACTAAAAATGCACGATTAGCTCACTGCCATAGAGGAGTTGACACAATCAAGTTGCTGAGAAGAGACATGGACATATAACTCAAGGTGAGGGAAACAGACAATAGGATATAATTATGAGCCATGTGCTTACTAGTATGCTTAAGAACTATATAAGGTCAAAAAAGGGAGAAAGTTGGCTGAGATAGTCATAGCAAGCTATACGGAAGAGGTGAGGCTTTAGCTCAACACTGAAGGATGGGTAAAAATTGAATAGGAGGAAATAAAGAAATGGCATACTGAGCAAGATCAGCATAAAAAGTAAGAGGAATGATAAGTCTTCAATACTATTTTGTGAAGCAGTAGAGAGGTAAAGTGGAATATTCAGTGGTAAAGATATTGTTATTTTCTTTAATTTCCAACATTTGACAGAATCATTATTATTAGTAGCATAATGCCTTAGTACAATTTATTTTTAGTGAACATGATTCAGCACAGTAACACTGAAAAAATTAACATAGAGAGAGAGAAATAAAGAGAAAAAAATATTAAAATTATATAGCTGCTCACTTAAAAAGGGCATGTTCAGGAGAAGAAAATTGGTTGATTAAGGAATATTGATAATGCCCAAATGTTGTGACAGTGTTAGAATTAGAAATTTGGCTTGAACCACATGAGCAAGCTATTCTTACCTAATTACGCTGCAGTGAATTCATTTGCCTTAGGAAATTTTATTTTTCAGGTTATTTCTCAATTTTATGATATCATCCTATATTTCTTATGTCTTTTACCTTCAAATTTATGAAACTCTTTTATATTATCTTGCTATTTTGTCTTCATTCAGTTGATTCTCAAACCACCACAACCTGCATTTTGTTCTCAATGTAATAGTAAACCTTGTATTAATTTGGATTATTAATACATCCTGTCGAACTTAATAGTAACTTCTAATACTAATATAAATAGTTTTGACACTAATAGAAGTATAACACTTTTTTTTTCTTTCAACTTTCTTTTAGATCCAAGGGGGTACATGTGCAGGTTTCTTACATGGGTAAATTCTGTGTCATGGGGTTTGTTGTATAGATAATTTTGTGACACAGGTCATCAGCATAGTGCCTGATAGCTTTTTAATAGTCATCCTTCTCCCACCCTCCAACCTCAGGTAGGCTCCAGTTGCTACTGTTTCCTTCTTTGTGTCCATGTGTACTTCATGCTTCAGGACATAGGCATGGGCAAAGACGTCACGACTAAAACACCAAAAGCAATGGCAACAAAAGCCAAAACTGACAAGCGGGATCTGATTAAACTAAAGAGCTTCTGCACAACAAAAGAAACTATCATCAGAGTGAACAGGCCACCTACAGAATGGGAGAAAATTTTTGCAATCTATCCATCTGACAAAGGGTTAATATCCAGACTCTACAAGGAACTTAAATTTACAAGAAAAAAAACAAACAACCGCATCAAAAAGTGGGCGAATGATAACATTTATGTGGCCAACAAACATATGAAAAAAATCTCATCATCACTGGTCATTGGAGAAATGCAAATCAAGACCACAGTGTGATACAATCTGACACCAGTTAGAATGGCGATCATTAAAATGTCAGGAAACTACACGGAATACTATGCAGCCATAAGAATGAATGAAATCATGTCCTTTGCAGCAACATGGATGGCAGCTATTATGCTAAGTGAATTAACACAGGAACAGAACCTAATACCACATGTTCTCACTTGTAGGTGAGAGCTAAGCATTAATGGGGTTGTTTGATTTTGGCTCAATTTGTTTAAGTTTCTTATAGATTTTGGATATTAGACCTTTCTCAGATGTATAGTTTGCAAATATTTTCTCACATTCTATAGGTTGTCTGTTTGCTCTGTTGATAGTTTCTTCTGTTGTACAGAAGCTCTTGTTTAATTAAGTCTCACTTGTCAATGTTTGTTTTTGCTGCAATTGCTTTTGGTGTCTTCATCATGAAATCTGTGCCCATTCCTATGTCCAAAATGGTATTACCTGGCTTGTCTTCCAGGGTTTTTATGGTTTTGGGTTTATATTTAAGTCTTTAATACATCTTGATCTGATTTTTGTATATGGTAAATGGTAGGAATCCAGCTTTAATCTTCTGCATGTGGTTATTCAGTTATCCTAGCACCATTTATTGAACAGGAAATCCCTTCTTCATTATTCATTACTGTTGGTTTTCTGTAAGATTAAATGGCTGTAGTCGTACAGCCATATTTCTGGGTTCTCTAACCTATTTCATTGGTTTATATGCCTGTTTTTGTTTTGTACCAGTATCAAGTTATTTTAGTTATAGTAGCCTCATAGTATAGTTTGAAACCATGTATACCTCCAGCTTTTTTTTTTTTTTCCTTAGGGTTGCTTTGGCTATTCAGGATCTTTTTGGTTTCAAGTGAATTTTAGATTTTTTTTTTTCTAGTTCTATGTAAATTATTTTTGGTAGTTTGATAGAAATAGCATTGAATCTGTAAATTGCTTTGGACAGTATGGCCCTTTTAACAGTATCACAATATTGATTCTGCCTATTTGTGAGCATGGAACGTTTTCCCATTTGTTTGTGTCATCTCTCATATCTTCCAGAAGTGTTTTGTGATTCTCATTGTAGAGATCTTTTACATCCCCGGTTAGCTATATTCCTAGGTATTTTGTTAATTTTGCAGCTATTGTGAATAAGATTGCATTCCTGATTTGGTTCCTATCTTGGATTTTATTAGTGTATAGAAATGTTTCTAAATTTTGTGCATTTATTTTGTATTCTGAAACTTTGCTGAAGTTGTTTATCAGATCTATAATTCACATTGTCTGTGAAGAGAGATACTTCCTCTCTATTTGGATGCTTTTTTTTTTTCTTCTTGCCTGATTGCTCTACCTAAGACCTCCAGTACAGTGTTGAATAGGAGTTGTGAGAGTGAGAGTGGGATTCCTTGTTTTCTTTTGGTTCTCAAGGGGAATGCTTCCAGCTTTAGACTATTCAGTATGATGTTTGCTATGTGTCATAGATGGCTCTTATTCTTTTGAAGTATATACTTTGAATGTCTAGTTTGTTGTGGGTTAATAACATGAAAGGATGCTGAATTTTATCAAAAGCTTTATGTGCATCTGTTGAGATGATCATGTAGTTTTTGTCTTTAGTTCTGCTTACGTGATAGATCACATTTACTGATTTGTGTATAATGAACCAACCTTGCATCCCAGGGGTGGAGCCTACTTGATCATGGTGAATAAGCTTTTTGATGTGATGCTGGATTTTGATTGCCAGTATTTTCTTGAGCATTTTTGCATTGATGTTCATCAGGAATATTGGCCTGAAATTTTCATTTATTGTTGTATCTCTGCCAGGTTTTGGTATCAAAATGATGCTGGTCTCATAGAAGGAGATAGGGAGGTGTCCCTCCTCCTCAATTTTTTGAAATGGTTTCAGCAGGAATGGTACCAGCTCTTTTTTGTATGTCTGGTAGATTTGGCTATGAATTCATATGGTTCAGGGCTTTTCCTGATTGGTAGGTTTTTATTACCAATTCAATTTGGGAACTATTATTTATCTGTCAGGGATTCAATTTCTTCTTTTTCAATCTTGGGGGCTTGTATATTTCTAGAAAGTTATCAATTTATTCAATGTTATCTAAGTTGTGTGTGTAGCAGTATTTGTAATATTCTTTGAGGATTTTGTATTTCTGTGGGCTTAGTGGTGATGTCCTCCTTGTCATTTCTGATTTTATTTGGATATTGTCTCTTTTTTTCTAAATTAGCTTAGCTAGCACCATATCTATCTTATTCATTTTTTTCAAAGAACCAACTTTTGGTTTTGCTGATCTTTTGTATGGCTTCTCTCATCTCTATTTCAGTTAGTTCAGGCCTTATTTTGGTTATTTATTTTCTTCTGCTAGCTATAGGGTTGGTTTGCTTTTGTTTTTCTAGGTCCTTTAGGTGTAATGTTAGTTTAATAATTTGAGATCTTTCAAAGTTTTTGATGTGGGTGTTCAAAACTATCAAATTTTCTCTTAACACTACATTAGCTGTGTCCCAGAGATTCTGCTATGCTTTATTTTCGTTTCCATTAGTTTCAAAGAATTTCTTGTTTTCTGCCTTAATTTCATTGTTTATCCAAAAGTCATTTAAGAGCAGATTGTTTAACTTCCATGTGATTGTATGGTTTTGAGAGATCTTGGTTTTGATTTCTATTTTTACTGTGCTATGGTCTGAGAGTGTGGGTGGTATGATTTTTTAAAAAATTTTCTTGAGATCTGCTTTATGGTTGAGGGTTTGACCAATTTTAAAGTATGTGCCATGTGCAGATAAAAGTAATGTACATTCCGTTGTTGTTGGCTGGAATGTTCTGTAGACGTATGTTAGGCCCATTTTGTCACGTGTCAAATTTAGAACCCAAATATCATTGTTAGTGTTCTTTCTCAATGATCTGTCCAGTTTTGTCTGTGGGGTGTTGAAGTCTCTCGCTATTATTGTTTGGTTATTTATATCTCTTTGTAAGTCTCTATGCACTTGTTTTATCAATCTGTGTACTCCAGTTTTAGGTGCATATTTAGTATAGGTTAAGTCTTCTTGTTGAATTGAATACTTTATCACTATGAAATGCCCTTCTTTTTCATTGTTTTTGATATAATATCTTTTGTTCTAAAATAAAAATAGTGACATCTTCTCTCTTTTTGTTTTATGTTTGTTTTGATAGACAGTTCTCCATCCCTTTACTTTGAGCCTATGGTTGCCCTTGCATGGGAGATGGGTCTCTTGAAGATAGCATAGAGTTGGTCCTGATTTTTTATCCAACTTGCCAGTCTGTGGCTTTCAAGTGGGAATGATTGGCTCATTTCCTTTCAAGGTTAATATTGATATGTGAGGATTTGATCCTTTCATTTTGTTATTAGTTGGTTGTTATGTAGACTTGATTGTGTATTAGCTTTATAGTTTCAATTGTCTATGTACTGGAGTGTGGTTTTGTGGTGGCTGCTAATGGTCTGTTGGTTCCACATTTAGCACTCCCTTAAGAACCTCTTGTGAGGCAGGTCTGATGGTAATAAATTGTCTTAGCATTTGCTTATCTACAAATAATTTTATTGATCCTTCACTTAAGAAGCTTAGTTTGGTTAGATATGAAATTCTTGTTTGGAATTTTTTTTCTTTAAAACTGCTGAATATAGGACCCTTAATTTCTTCTGGCTTGTAGGGTTTCTGCTGAAAGGTCATGTGTTGCTTCATTTCTGGGTGTTTTCAGGAGACATATGAAACATCAGATGTCTGATGGTTTCTCTGTATTTCCTCATGTTTGCAGCCATGCTCCCTCTCAGTGCTCTGAGAGTGTGGACTCCTTTCCTACTTCAGTGCTGGCCACAGACCTTGGCTTGGCACTTCCAGTCTGTGCACTGCAGGCCTGGGGCAAGCTTAGACTTTTTGCTTACTCCTCAGCTTAGAGAAAGCAAAGTTGGAGACATTGGCAGTGGCAATGGCAAAGCACCTTTCACTAGTGTCTTAGGGCTCCACTCCAGAGAAACACAGAGCCTTGGCAAGTTGGATTGATCAGCCTAGGGTGGGAAGACTGTGTTGTGAGCCCAAGATAGGAAGCCCTGTGTGGTGAAGAGTAGGAGATTTGAGGAGCTTATGGGGAAAACAGTCTAACCTTTTTTTTTGTAGGGTGACTGCAATGTGCTGGAGGTCCAAGCACTCAGGCTCTCTGTTTCTTCCCTAGCCCAAGGGCAGTAAGGATAGTACCACTGCATTGGTAGTGGCAGAGGGGCTGTCAGTTGTCTCTAAGAACACCACCCCAGAGAGACAGAGCCACTTCCAATGGGAATGTTTAGCCGGGGTGGTGTGACTGTGCTGTGGGACCAAATCTGGGGCCCTACCCTGTGAAGAGTGAGGGAAGAGTCTTACAAGGAAGGAGACTGGGCTCCTCCCTGTATGGTGTCTGCAGTGTGCTGGAGGTTCCAGTAAAATGATCAGTTTTGGGTATGTTTTATCAGCAGTGTGAAAATGGACTAATACAAGCATTTCACACAAAGTTAAAAAGATTACTTCAGACTTCTTTAGTTTATGCAGTTAATAGTCACAAACATTTCAGCCCTCCATGAATCCTGAAAGATTTTCTTTTATTCTAACATCACAATTTCTAAAGTGATTAGAAACCTGCATTTAATGACACCTGTTAGAGTTCTATAGCTGACTATAAACCACCTTCTAAAGAGGATTAAAACCAGACAACAATGATCTGTGGGTGATAAAAAGCCTTAGGACAGCCACCATCAAAAACACAATTGACAAAGAAATTTGGTTACCTTTGTGGCATATAAAAGTTTACATAAAAATTATAACTATTAATAACATACACTAAGCCATATTAGAATTAGAAGAGTTTCCCATGATTTGGAACATATACCAAATATTAATGCAAATACAGCCCAAAGAACACTAAACACAATTTCATATTTGACAATGCTTTCAGTATGATTTTTATACCAAATACGCCAAATGTCACCATTGCATTAGTGCATTATTGACATCAAACCCAATTCTTAAGAAAACCTTATAGACAAATATGTTTAATCTTAATTAGTTTGACCATAAGGTAAGATTCTTTTAAACATTTTATAACTCTTTACAATTTTTTTGTTAAAGAGCATATTATAAGCAGGTTTTTGCTCTAAGAAAAACCTGTTGTGCTTTTACTTTAATGCTTAATTTATAGAAAAACCGAATAATACCCCTTTAACTTTAGCCAAAATGTTCACACACAGAATTAATTTCTTTTACAATTAATTTTTCACAAACCTTCCACAACTTGTTTAAACCTTCAGCTTTATCCTAACTTAAAACAATTTTTAACCCTTTAATTTAGGCAGAAAAAAAATCTACATTCCCATCACTTCTTATAATCTTTTACCAAAAGTATTAATATATTCTACTTCCCTTACACACTTCATGTGTAGAACTGTTTTTTCAGTAGTCTGAAATACATGTTACAATGTTAACTCTCAGTGACTTTTACTTTTGGTGAAAACCTTGGTAAATTTGGGATTTTAATTATGTACTAGGTGTGTAGCCTAGCCTAGGACACACCAGGCAGAAGTGCAGGTAAGGGTCTTTCTAACTCCACATGTCCTAGGTCTTACCTAGCTGTAAAGCAGGCAAGTTGTACAGTTGAGTCATAGCGGCATTTTATGAAGAATTTTCTTTGCATAGTTAGAGGGCATGGCTAATTCCACATGTCCCCAGGCCTTATCTAGAATCTAATGTTTCAAGGTAGGTAAATTAAACAATTTTCAAAAGTCAAAGAAGCAGTTTATGACCTTAAAGCATTTAGTAAACTTAATATCTGACCTATGTAATTTAGACCAAACGTTTATATTTTTGAAGATATTTTTGTTTTACCAATAATCTTTAAAACTATCTTTATTTCCAAAAGATTATTAAAGTCATATGAACTAAAAGGCATTACACTTTTTACTTTTCTGGCAAAATATCTGATTTAACCACTTATTATTTTTAAGCCAATTAAAGCTTTTTTTTATGTTACACACACAACACATATAAATACACAGACAGACAGAAGATAAAGGACTCATTTATTCTCTAAGCCAGGAATTGGACTCTGAACTCAGGACACCATTGTGAAAAGAGAAAGGATGGCCATAGGTTTACAAGGTCAAGCTCCCAAGGACATACAAGACAAGAAGGAAACCTCATCCAGATTTTTTCAGGTAATTGCAATGAAGTTTGTAACTGAGCAGTCTGCTGGGCTGTCTTGAAAAGCGGGCTTACAAGTGCCCTAAGCCTGTGTTCTATTCTAAGGTACTCCCTCCATTACAGAACACAGAAAGACACACAAAGCACACCAAATTCACTACAGTTAATCAAAACTTTACAGAGAAGATAAACAGTGATTTTTACCGTTCATTCAACCAGTTTGCACAGAGAGAGAGAAAGAGGAGAGCATTGCCTGAGGCAGGATGGGGAAGGGGAGGCACTCAGGGAAGCCAGAGGAAGACCCATTCATTACAGTCAACACTGAAAAGTTCAGGCGGCTGCTTGTCATTTGTGAAGGGATCTTTTCCAGCAGTCACATCAGCTCTCAAATTTCCCCTTTTTTGGGAGGAAAAAGCTCCCTATGTCCCATGATCCTGTGCATACCGAATCCTGTCACCCACAACTGTCAGCAAAGAGTACAAGGCAGATTATTCTAAAGAGAATAGAAGTTAACATCCCGCAGTGCCAAACCCGTTCTTAGACAAGAGAGATTTTACAAGTGGGACTTTACTGAGAGGGGCGCCTAATCCCCTAAATCTTAGAAGGGACTCTAATCCTCTTAAGTTGGGCCTCCAACCCAAGGCCCTTCAAGCGTCCTTGCCTTTTATTAAGAGGGCCCTCTAACCCAGTCCATCCTAGGAGACACTCTAACTCCCTTAAGTTGGGCCTCTAACCCAATCCCATTCTTTACCTGGATATATGCACCCCACTTACCCAAAGTTGGACAATCAGTGCTGCAGTCTATTTCCTTTGAGTGGGAGGGGTCTCCTCAGTATTGTTGCTTCATGGTCACCAGAAAGATGTTCAGGAAAGGGATGTTGATCCAGACCCCAAGAAAGAGTTCTCAGATCTCATGCAACAAAGAATTCAGGGCAAGTTTGTAGAGTAAAGTGAAAGCAAGTTTATTAGGAAAGTAAAGGAATAAAAGAACGGCTACTCCATAGACAGAGCAGTCCCAAGGGCTGCTGGTTGCCCATTTTTATGGTTCTGGTTATTTCTTGATGATATGCTAGACAAGGGGAGGATTATTCATGCCTCCCCTTTCTAAACCATACAGGTAACTTCCTGACGTTGCCATGGCATTTGTAAACTGCCATAGCAATGGTGGGAGTGTAGCAGTGAGGATGGCTAGAGGTAACTCTTGTGGCCATCTTGGTTTTGGTGGGATTTAGCTGGCTTCCTTACTGCAACCTGTTTTATCAGCAAGGTCTTTATGATCTGTATCTTGTGCCAAACTCCTATCTCATCCTGTGACAAAATGCCTTAACCATCTGAGAATACAGCCCAGTAGGTTTCAGCCTCATTGTACCTAGCTTCTATTCAACATGGTGTTGCTTTGGTTCATACGCCTCTGACACAGGTCTACATTAACCTAAAATCTAGTCTCTGTCCACTCTACTACACTGTTATGACACAGGAATTAAAGGACTAACCTCATTTTCTGTAGATTGTGAATGTGAACCTTGCATAGGACAAAATACTTTCACTGCATAGACATTTTTTAAAAATTTATCTATTCATTTATTCACTCATTCTTTTCATTTTTTAATCATCCTATAGAAAAAGCTTCCCTTTTTGCCTCTGAAGATTCATTGAAAATCATTGGCAAAAGGGAGATTCATAGAAGAAAATGTATACAAATTTATGTGTTTATAGTTTTATAAGAAATGAGAGGCTTCAGACTGAAGACCCAAAGACACAGGGGAAGTTGTCCATTTTTATGCATAGGTGTAGACATGTAGAAATATGATTAGATAATCTTAACAGACTGAAAGGGGAAACCCAGCAATTTCTGTCCATTTACATGCTTTTTGGCCTCTCTATGCAGTATTCTTTCTTTCTGTGTGTGGGGCAGAATTCTTTCTGGAGGGAGGGTGTTATTACCTTCAACCAAACATGGTAGCTTAGATTATGTCCTTATGACCTGATTTTACAAAGAAAGGCAGAAGGAGAGTTAGAGTAATATTTTTAGGCTTTATGGCTAGCTTTGGGGAAAAAAGATTCTGGTTTGTAAGACTTGCATTGAAGAAGAGGGATTCTAGTTTCTATTTCTAGCCTCAGGCAAGAATGAGGGGGTCAGAAACAGGAGGGCAGAAAAAATCAGAGAGAAAAATTTGCTTCTGAAGCTATTTCTGGGGACTTCATCTCGGAGTATGGTTTATCAAGTCCCAGTAATCCATTTAGCTACCAATTTATTACATAAGCACAGTATGTTCTAGTGTGGAAGATTTCAATAACTTGGTTTAGCTAGGAAAACCTTGGGTCACATACACTACAATTAATTTTTTTAATAAAATAGATTAAAAATAGAATGTTTCTGGTTGAAATTCAGGTTTGAGTGACTTAAAATAATTTATTCAATATAGTTATAAGTACGTGTCAAAGTATTGTTTCAAATTTGTAAGAGGGGAGACCTAAAACAGGTCCAGGTCAATTCATCGAGAGTAGAAGGATGGCTACAGGAAGCTAGGAAGGGTTGCCAGGGATTGGAGGAGAGTTGGGGATGTTTAATGGTACAGAAAAATAAAAAGAATAAATAAGACCTAATATTTAATAGCATAATAGGGTGATGATACTCAATAATAACTGTACATTTTAAAATAAAGATTGTAGGTGGATTGTTTTTTAACTCAAAAGATAAATGCTTGAGGAGATACATACCCCATTCTCCATGATAGGCTCATTTCACATTGCATGCCTGTATCAAATCATCTTATGTACCCTATAAATATATACACCTAAAATGTACCCATAAAAATTACAAATAAAAACAAAAAAGAGGTCAATTCAAATATAACCTCCAACTAGAACATTTTCATAGAAAAATAGAATTATTAGAAAATTATTGTTAAGGCAGGTGTGGTGGCTAAAACCTGTAATCCCAATACTTTGGAAGGCTGAGGTAGGAAGATGGCTTGGGCACAGTAGTTAGATCAGCCTGGGAAACACAGTGAGACCCTGTCTCTAAATTTTTAAAAAATATAGCCAAGCAATTTGGTACATGCCTATGGTTTCAGCTACTTAAGAGACTGAGGCAGGAGAATCTGTTGAGCCCAGGAGGTCAAGGCTACAGTGAGCTGTGATTGCACCATGGCACTCTAGCCTGGATAACAAAGTAAACGCCTGTCTTAAAAAAGAAAGAAAGAAAGAAAAAAAAAAAACATTGTTATTTATTATTGTTATCCAATTTATTATCCATAAATTGGATGCAAGGAAAATAATTTCCATTTAGCTATTATTTGACATCTTACTGAAATTAAGCTGATGGCCAGTTGAAGAAAGAACCAACAAAATTGCCCAATATATTCCAGGGCCTGAGGCAAGAGTATACATGGAGGTTTACAAACAATATGAATAAATATTTACAAGTTATAAATTAAGCTAACTGTTTAGCAAAATATCTTCTTGACAAGATATAGTTTCATAAAGACCTGGAAGATCAGATTCTGGCTCAGAACTCTCAGATTCTTTAGAATTATGTATCGTATGTGGCAATTCCAGGAGAACCATCCATAATCTGTCTCTCGTCTCTTCCCATCCCTGTTTTTTGTGAACTATACATCAAGGAGTCTTGAATGCAGGTGTGTTGACACCTCAGTTTGCATGTCAAAGCTATGTCCACACTTTCACCTTTGCATTCGGCTACCTCTTGGCTAAACCTCAAACCTAGGGTTATACACACTACCAGATTTTCTACCTTAGTTGGATGGATCCAGGGAAAAAGCTCAGGTAAGTTTTAAACTCAGAGCCATTTGGGCAGATAATGTCTTGGATTTCATATTTAGGGGAGGAAAGGATTTTCTCTATTGCTCTACTCTCTGAGGTTTTGATAACTGCATCTATGAAATAACCTGAAAGAGACAAATTAACAGCAGAAAAGGCATACAAATGTATTCTATGCACAGGGGCATCACAGCAAAAAAAAAAAAAAAAAAAAAAAGTGAAAATCCCAAAATCCAGTGAGATGTAGAAGCTTATATATACTCTTCATAGGGGAGAGGAGATATAGGGAGCTTAGAGGAGAATATATGATTTCAGAAAAGATGAATGGGGCTTTAGGAGAAGATATTGAGAGAGGAGAAAAGAAAAAACTGGTCAGGCAGACAGTTAGGGTGGGTCCTTAGTTGAATTCTTTCAAATAAAAACACAGCCTGAAAAATCAAGTTGCAGGAACACATAAAGGAACTTGCCCAGGGGGCTTGGCTAAGACATCCCCACAGCCACACAGATGAGAAAGTCTACAGAGGAGACTTGCAAAGACATGCCAACAATGGAAAATTCCAACCCCTGACACATTTGCAGTAAGGAGAACAAAGGAAGATGGAATAACTCAAGTTAAGGGCCTGCATGCACACTAGGAGGATGGGGCAGAACTACCAGTAATGCACACCTTATACAAATGAGATGCCCAGCCCCTCTGTTGGTTTCTTATAAAAGCCTCTATATCCAAAGTGTGAATCAGCAACCCATTTTTCTGGGACCCCTCTCTGTACCAGGGAGCTATTCTCTTTCTTTCATCTATTAAATTTCTGCTCTAAACTTCACCCTTTGTGTGTCCACATCCTTGATCTCCATGGCTGTGAGATATTGAAGCCTGGGTGTTACCTCAGATGACGAGGCTGCTTCAATATGATAGTTTGCATCAGTTTATCTGAGTGTGATGCCAACTTCTAGTTTTACTCTCCTGTGATGAGAGTAAAACTCCTGTTTAACAAAACCCCTGGGGAGAGAATGGGTGACAATTGAGTATTTATTGGAGGATTTGTCTCTGGACAGACAAGGCTTCTTCTGGCTACTACTGCCCCCAAAGTACCCTCAGTTCAAAGTAAGTAGCATACAAAAATGACATATTTTTGTGACATTTCCTGGCTTCTTTATAGTAGAGAGTGGTCTAAGAAACAGGTAGAGGCTAGAGACCCAGGTGCACATGTTCACTTGACCTGTGGTCTCTTCATGCTGTGGAAAGTGATGTAGCCATAAAATATACAGAGTGGGTTCCTCTAAAGCAGGGCTGAGGACATAGCACCCCAAAATGTGACTGCAGGAGACTAAAACGTGCAACCCCAAAATATACATTGATAAATAAAAATAAAATTCTATACCCCTAACTGACTAAACAGACCCTCTCTTGGCCACAGAAACCTCAGAGAAACCTTGGAAGGTGAGTTCCTAGCCATGACAGGATGGGAGATTAGATACACTTCATTATACCCCTTCCTTCTCTAACAGCCATTAGGCTTTCTTCCCTAAGAATTAAACAGAAACTAGCCCTTTCAAAAAACTACTAGCTTATATTTGCAGGTACAGAACAATGACAAGATTAGATTAATCATTTCTTCATCTTTCCCTGAGACTAGATGAGATTAATCATTCTTACACCTCTCTGTGAGAAGTCTACTTCCCCTAATCCCTTTTCCTTCAAATGTTCACCTTATCTTAGGTAAAATGTGGGTTTACTGGACACTAACTGAAGTCTTACAAGTATGTGATCATTTTTTCTCACTGCTGCCCCCTGCTTTGAAAAATAACGTAAAAATGCAAAACCTCCTGAGAATGTCTTTTGGAAAAACAGTCACCAATGCTTCTGTAACTTGCGTTTTTCCTAGGTGCAGCCTCAAGCTGGCTTAATAAACACTCATTTGAGACTTATGCCTCAATCACTCATTTTGGTTGTCAACCTCTTTGCCATATTATTATTTTCATCTGCTTATTTTGAGAGACTGCAGACACAGTAGTAGATCTGAAAAGCTGCCTTTTTATGAAAAAAATTTACATCTATAAACAGAATTGTTACTAGTAAGAATATCTGTGTCAAGAAGAGAGCTCCTCTAAGACCATCTTTATTACCTGAAGGACTTTTATCTGCACAAAAAGGCAACCTTTGTTTGCCATACATTCCTCTTCTAATCCTCCTAAAATTTGTCGTCACCACTCCCAGAAGCCGCATGCCCCTATGTTTTTCTATAGCTCAGGATGCTATACAAGTCCTGATCATCTGTCCTTTCTTTAAGTTTCATATTTCTGTGGGATTCTTGTGAATGTGCATGTAATTAAAAAGGTATTTTTTTCTCTTCATCGGTCTTATGCTAATTTAATTTATAGCCAAGCCAAATAACTTAAATGGGTGGAGGCATGCTATTTTTTTCCTTCACTACAGGGCCCAGGGCATGGGACTTTCTCTCTGGGGCCTAACAGAGGTACCAAGCAACTAATTTTGTTACCAGAAAAGGGTGCTGATTCAGACCCCAAGAGAGGGTTCTTGGATCTCGTGCAAGAAAGAATTCAGGGCAAGTTTGCAGAATAAAGTGAAAGCAAGTTTATTAGGAAAATAAAGGAATAAAGAATGGCTACTCCAGGGTTGCTGGTTGCCCATTTTTGTGGTTATTGTTTGATTACATACTAAACAAGCAGTACATTTTTCAGGAGTTTCTGGGAAAGGGGTGGGCATTTCCCTGGAGTTGAGGGTTCCTCCTCTTTTTAGTCCATGTCGGGTAACTTTCTGATGTTGCCATGGCACTTGTAAACTCTCATGGCACTCGTGGGGTAGCAGTGAGGATGACCAGAGGTCACTCTCTTGGCCATCTTGGTTTTTATGGGTTTTAGCTAGCTTCTTTACTGCAACCTGTTGTATCAGCAAGGTCTTTATTACCTGTATTTTGTGCTGACCTCCTATCTCATCCTGGGACTTAGAATGCCTAACCATCTAGGAATGTAGCCCAGTAGATCTTAGCCTTATTTTACCCAGCCCCTATTCAAGATGGAGTTGCTCTGGTTTAATCGCCTTTGACAATTTCCTAGAAAAGCCCTTAATCACATCATATTATATCCAAAAATTGCTTAAGCATTTTATACAAAATAGTTGTTCATTTTTCAGAGTTTGTAAATTATACTATACGAAAATATTCTGTTACATGCTAGATTTATAATAATGTTATTTATTGGAGCAGTGGTAGCCTTCATTCTCTCCCCTTAACATACACATGCAAAATTATGAATGCACCTAGTAGGCTTTGTGAGAATTCCCATAATGAACAACTTTAAAACTACTGATCCGTTATAAAGGGTATAAACTTTGAAAATCAGCCCTGAATTCAAATGTAGTTCAGTGATTGTCTTTTTTTGCAAACTCGGACAAGTTATTTAACCTCTTGGAATTCAATTTCATTGTTTATCACACAGGAATAACTTTAAATGCTTTTCAACATTTCAGGAGAACAAAAAGATTGTGCAGATTTGCTTTCAGTTACCAGGTATCCACTTCCTGAGAATTTAAGTAATACAAGGATTCAAGTTATAGAGCACAGTGTTTTGAGAACATTCGAGAGGAGGTTCTATAAAGCAAAACAAGTTCCACAAATTGAAATGGCAAAGAATAGACTCCAGTGTACGTATCAAGGTCTGTGAAAGACCAGGGTGGAAATCTGTTTAACATTACCTGGTAGTCTAATTATATTTATGTACCTGGCATGCTTTAATTGGATTTGAGAATCTATGTATTCTGTAATAGATGTTAAGTATATTTTTAAGGACAAAAATGGTAAGCATATATGAATCCTAAGGACTAAATTTAGGCTTTAATTTTGTCATGAGAGATAATGAGAAAGATCACCTGAAGAACAAGACAATTAGGTTATCTTTTTAAGAATTAGTAGACAATGGCTTTCAATGGCACCATCTGTTTTTACTAATCCTTTTACAGTTCATAGAGAAGAGTTGAGAGTAAGGGTGAGAAAAAACATGTGTGACTCGAAACAAAAGAACAAAGGCAGCAGTGAAACCAGCAAAATATGGACAAATGCTGACTTTGAAATAAAAACATAGTATTTATAAAGAGCTGGGGTTGGTGGATTTATGACATAATTTGAAGAAGCTATTCATGTCATCCTCCGCTCCAAAAAATTTGAAATTTTCCAAGAGAAACACAATCATTTAGATTGACATAGTCCTCTTTAAGGAGGTTGAGGGGGGAAGATCACTTGAAGCTAAGAGTTCAAGACCTACCTGGGCAAGAAAGTGAGACTTCATCTTCACAAAAAACAGAAAGAAAAGAAATTAGCCAGGTGCAGTGGCATGTGCCTGTAGTCCCAGATCCTGGAGAGGCTGAAGTAAGCGAATTGCTTGAGCTCAAGAGTTCAAGGGTGCAGTGAGCTATGATCACACTACTGAACTCCAGCCTGGGTGACAAAGTGAGTCTCTGTCTCTAAAATCATCATCATCACCATCCTCCTCATCATCATCATGATAAATAAAAAGCCTAGTTCTGTATATGGCAAAAAATTAGCTTCCCTGACCCTTTGTATATAAAATTATATTATATAATATTATTTTCAGCTACAATTGAATATAGTTGTATATTATAAATATTGCATACATGTTACATATTTTGAATATTTTATAAATATTTTATGCATTTATTAAATCAGATTAATTATCAAGCTACAAGTAAAGTCAGTGGATTAAAATAGAAAGTTGTTTTGGGGGAGGTTTTACTTCATTTGCATTGCTATAAAAGAATATATGAGGCTAGGAAATTTACAAAGAGGTTTATTTGGCTTATGGTTCTGCAGGCAGTACGAGAAACATGGCACCAGCATCTGCTTCTGGTGAGGGACCCAGGGAGCTTTCAATTATGGCAGAGGGAAAGAGGAGCAGGCGTGTCACATGGCAAGACGGAGCAAGGGAGAGGAGGTGCCAGGATCTTTTTAACAATCAATTCTTGCACAAACTATGAACTCACTTGTTACTGTGAGGATGGCGCCAAGTAATTCATGAGGGATCTGCCCCGATAACCCAAACACTTCCCCCCTAAGCCCCACCTTTAACATTTTGGATTAAATTTTTACATGAAACTTGGAGGGGACAAATATCCGAACTATATCAGGGTGAAAGGTCTGAGAAGGAAGAGCCTGCAGTTGGTAAGGCTGGTTTGGCTGAGTTAACTCTGGCCAATGAAGAGTTCTAGGTAGCTGAAAAGTACTTGTGGCCTGAAGAGCAGTCAAAAGAAGGAACATAAATATATGCTTAGGTAGATGGTGAAAGAAAGGTTATTACTATGAGTCAAAACTACTTAATAAATCCATCTGGCACTCTCCCCTCAATTTTCTACAGCAAAGGCCAAGATCTCTTTGCAATTTTAAATGAGATTTTTACTAAAGTCTTTGTTGTAATGGAATGGAATCATGGCACATAGAAACTTAAAGCTGAATGGACCTTTCTTAGAGTCTACAGATCTAACAACCTTAACTACCTCACCTTTATCTCTTGTGAATACCCTTGATCATGTCTCCCCTGCCTCAAGTCTTGCTCTCTGCAACTATAAATTCCAAAGAAAGTTAAGCTAATTTTCAAAATTGCAATATTATTATGCAAAGCAATTTAGCTTTATTTTCCCATGTCATATTAGAATCTAGATTTAGCTTGGTACAAACAAAAGATGCGGTAAATGATTCTCCATTACAAAGGACAGCAATCTATCATCGAGAGTAATTTGCCTTTATATTGGCAAACATTGGCAGGAATTTTTAAAATAGCAGTTTTTCCTCTCTACTAGCAGGTAACTTAAAAAAAATGTGGTTCAGTTTCAACTATAGTACCTTGCAATACTCTGTTACATTTGCTTAACAAATAAAGAAACAACTTATAAGAATGTAATTTACCTTAATTTAATTCAACAAAAATTTATTGAACACCCAAATTATGAAACTAACACATGGTAAAACTGAAACAAGAACTGGGTCTTCTGATTCGTCATCCAGATATCTTTTTTTTCCACCCTACATTGACAGTTAAAATAAAAATACTGTTTTCAACATAATAATTCAATCGTCCATTTGACTATTCCAATTGACCTATGTTGCCAACTAAATTATATTCTGTTGAATATATTTTCACATGTGTATTTGTCTTCTATATATTCTCTTTGGTACAATGTCTCTCTGTGTCTTTGGCCCATTTTCTAATTGGATTGTTTGGCCTACTTCTGTGGGTTGTGCTTCTATTGGAAGTCAAATTTTTGGAGCCTTTATGATGTTTCTTTATTCTGATTGAATTATCTGGTGTTGCTGAGGCTTCCAGTTGTTCTTTGCTGATGCTGCATGACAGACTAAAGCAGACTAATTAGACAGGGCAGTCTGGTACCTCTAGGAGGGGGAAGGAAGCCTCCAGCCTACACTGCAGAAGAGTGTTTCTCTGTCTGAGTGCTTATTATTTCAAGATTCTTTTTGTGTGGAACAGAAACCACTTCTGAGCATGGGTGGCTTGTTGAGACAGGATCCCCTTATCCCCTTGGTCAGTTCCATAAGCTTGTCTCTGTCTCTGTATCTCCAAGCAGGGGTAAAATATCTCAGGCACAATGATAATGATAATGACTACAATGAGAAAGGAGGGCATTTCCCTGGCAGCTTATTGTCCCTATTGATCCTCCTTTTAGGTGGTGCAATCTGGCCTTCTTGTTTGGACTACCATTCAGTCCATGGGAGTAGTTAGCCTACCTGGTCTGTCCTTTCTTGCTTGGTTTGGTGTCAGGAAATGCTGGCCTGTATGCTTCTCTTCAGTTGGTTTTGTAGAGGGGGAACATAAGAAGCCCTGCCCCTATGTTCTTCCAGTTCTTAGGTCCCCAAGTTCACACTTCTCTTACCATCTTTCAGAGTTCTTCTTTGTTTGTCTCGTCTGTTAATTCCAGGATTTATAGTTGTACTCAGCAGGGAGGAGGAGGACAAGAGGAGCTATGCTATCTTATCTAGACAGGAAATCCTATACAGTACTTTACTTCTCAAACAATGTTTGCCTCATTATTCCAAATTTATAATAGGTGTTTATTGACATCCTAAAATTATATAGTTCTGGTAACTTTTTACTGGGAATCTGACAATATATTACTCTTGTCACCATCTTTTGTTTCATTGCCTTCCATGGCCCATTAATTTACTGAACTTTAAATATATATGTATACATAAATATATACATATATACATAAATATATACATATATATACATATAATATGTATATATGTTTTGTTTATTGTGATCAAGTTCAAAACCTGCCTGTTTTTGAAACTTGTCCATGAGTCACACAGATTCCTATAAAATCCCACAGATTCCTATTTCCTTTGTATATCCAAAAATTAATTATAGCCAGTCTTATAATAAGTGTTAATCGTATCTTCCTTATTCTTAAGAGTGGTCATCTTTCTAGAGCAGCGTTTCTCAACTGGGAATTATTTTGCTTCTTTCCCACCCCACCCCCACAATATCCAAGAGATATTTGGAAATTTTTGGAGGTTGATTTTTTTTTCTAACTTTGAGCCCAGTACTAGTGCATCTAGTGTGTTAAGGTCAGTGAGGCTGATAAATGTCTTACTATACAAAGGACAGACCCCCACAATAAAGACTTACCTGCTCCAAAATTTTAAAAGTGCTGAGGTTGACAAACCCTGTTCCATTTGCTAGCACAATACTTCTCCATCGTTTGTCAGAAACAAACAAGAAAACTACTTTAGTAACCCCATTTTTCTATGAAATAGAAAATGTGTTACTTTTTTTTCAGTATTTTCTTTCTCCATTCTCCCTGTTCTAAAGGGCTAAATCTTTCTACTTAACCCTTTAGACATGCGAATATAATATTTACTTTCCCTTCCCCAGGCACTCCCCACAGGGCAAGTTCATCTGTCTATGCCTCCAACATGAAATGCCTACCCACCAGGAGGTTGCTTTGAGAGATAACAATCAATTTTTAGAACAAAGGATGTGTTCTACAGAACTCACACCCACCAGGAAGTTGCCTCAAAAGATGACAGTCCCTAACAGGGACATGGATGCAGCTGGAAACCATCATACTGAGCATACTATAGCAAGGACAGAAAACCAAACACCGCGTGTTCTCACTCCTAGGTGGGAATTGAACAATGAGAACACTTGGACACAGGAAGGGGAACATCACACACCGGGGCCTCTCATGAGGTTGGGGAGGGGGGAGGGATAGCATTAGGAGATATACCTAACGTAAATGACGAGTTAATGGGTGCAGCACACCAACATGGCACGTGTATACATATGTAACGAGTTGTGCACATGTACCCTAGAACTTAAAGTATAATAATAAAAAAATTTTTTTTAAAAAAAGATAATAGTCAAAAGCATGCCTGCTACTATCTCTCTCCTGGAGAGATATTGGTGACCTTTACAACCTATTTCTACCCATGAAGACGCCAGCCTCACTGCCCAGTACGTAATGCACCAAGGTAGCATGCAGATTCCCCAACCTTGCTCACTTCCTCTCCTGACTTTTAAAAATTTCCATGTTCTGCTTCAAAAGTGAAGGGTATCCTTAAAGGCAAGAAATCTGTACCTCTTCCCCTAAACTAACTTTGGAATAAGTCACTTTCTTTGTACAAGACCTCTCTCTTGTTAATTAGACAGCGCTGAGTGTGTAGACCTGCTTTCAGTTCCAAATCAACTTGTTTTTCCTAATAGGCAAGAACTATTTACAGTCCCACATTTTCAAAGACAGTCTGGACATCTCCACTTGACTGTTTTCAAATTTGCCAAACTAATTATGTGCAAAACAAAACTTACTACTTTCCCCAATTCTTTACCCATTTTAAAAGAGTTAACTTTATCATAATCTCCTTAGTCTTTTAAATTAGAAATTAGAGAGCCAAATTCGAATTCTCTTGTCTCTAAAGCCTCACATTTAATTAGCTAATAAAATTGGTCATTTTATGATACAACCATAAAGCAATTTTAATTGCCCTTTGAAGTTTTTGACCTAAATATGTAGGGCCTTTGCACATGCCCTTTCTTGTTCATAAAATTTTACTTCCACCAACTTTCTTAACATAAAATTTTCCAACTTATGATTTAAGAACCAGATCGAGTACAATGTGCATAGGACCATTCTTGGACTCCTCTTCTTCTGAGCTTTCACAGCATTCCTATAACGCACTTCATGTTTTATTTATTCCAACATCTCCCATGCTAAGAAGTCAGATTCTGGGGAAAAAAAACCATAATTATTATTCATCTTTGTATCTCTAGTACCTACTGTGGTGCCCAGAAAAAGGATGCTGACTTACTGAGTAAATGAATTAACAGGTAGGTAATTGGACATATGTATGAATGTAGACAAATTAACACAATTCAAATTGGAGTTTATAATAGACTCCTTTGTCAATGCCAATGTTAAAAAGCCTTCTGAATTGCATTTGCTATCACAAAAAATATATAAATTATAAATTAAAAATAGATGTAAAAAAGTTAAAATATTGTTTCAATATATTGACATTTCCATCAAAGTATAAACTTTGTGAATTTTGATCTGTCAAATGTGCCCTAAGATGTTTCTCTAATCACATATGAACAAACACTACACTATATAGGCCACTCACAATAAGATTCATAAATAAATAAGTAATGGATATTTTAAAATTGTAAATTTTTGCACATCAAATTCAACTCAAGCAGAGGTAGTCATGACTACAGAATTTGACATAAACTAATATTAATAATTTCTGTTTGCTACTACAAATGTGTTGAATGTATTCTTCTTATAGAGTGATTAAAGATAACTTTTGGTTTTATTTGATGTTCTTTAAAGGTTAATCGTGATACATTTTATATAAAACATATTTTCTATATATTTTTTCTAAAATTATATTAAGGCAGCCTAGTGATTTGCTAATGTATTAATGTTTATACTTTAAATAATATGAGTGCTTCTTTTCCCATATCTAAATGTTAGAAATGTGCATTCAGGCAAAGGAAAAAATGTCCATAATTTACTCCTCAAATTTACATCCCATTTTATTGTCTCCTTAGCCATAAAGTGATCTGCAACCTATTTTTCAGAAAACATTATATTCTCCTTAGTGAAAGGGACATAATTTGAACTATAATAAGAAAATAGAAACAATTGTAAATCATTTTCAGATTATAAAAGTTTACTAATGCTAGCCTATGGTTGCCAGCATTCAGACCACTTGTTTACTCATACTCTTTACATTGGATGGTAGGTAGGAAAAAAAAGACTTAAAATTGAAACTTGTCATTTATCTTTGTTACTAATCTTCTAAAAGTGTTTCTGAAAGAAAATATCAATATATTTAATTAAGTTTCAAATTACCTATTAAATTTAGTTATTCCTATGTCCTAAACCATGCCTAATGAATTGAGAATAACAAAAATGAAGAAATTCAGAAAATGCCACCATAAAATATGATTTGGTATGTTTATTACTTTGAACTAAGTTCACTTGGGGAACAGGTAATGCAGGCAGAGGCTTTCTCAGAGCTCTGCTTGTCTACTTAAAGATAGATCTTCCAAAAAGAACTTGATTGTCATGAATCCCCTCCACAGAAATCTTGTCAACCAGGGAAGATAAATTTGGATCAAAGGAGACAAGACTATAGTGACTTCAGGCCTAGACAGACTCTCACTTGTTCTTCTGAGAGCTGCTTCAAGAGAGGTTTTATTACCTGAGAGACTTTTTATTCACATAACAAGACAACTTTTATTCACCATGCATTTCCTTCCCTTATCCTCCTGTAACTTGTTGCCACCACCACCCAGAATCCCCAAGCCCCTATACTTCTCTGTAGGTCAAGATGCTATATAAATATCAGTGATCTGACCCTTGAGTCTCATATTTTGTAAGACAGCAATGCAGATATATGTAATTAAATATGTTTTTTCCTCCTGTTAATCTGTCTTATGTCAATTTAATTCATAGTCTAGTCAAAAGAACTAGAAGGGTGAAGAAAAGTCATTATTTCTAATAAAGATGGGGTTGTGCTGTTTCCCAGGCTGGTCTGAAATGCCTGGACTCAAGCCATTCTCCCATCTCAACCTTGCAAAGTTCTGTGGTTACAGGTTTGAGTCTGTGAGCTTGGCCAAAAGTCATTTTTTGCTACCCTACAAAGACTTACCAAAAAATGACTTTTCAAAGCATAACTTCTGATTATTCAAACCTTAAAGAAAAATATTGACTAATTAGAGATATCAGTCATTCAATTAAAGTATTTCTATTTTAAATTAATAGGGAAAACAGTCTTAAATGACTAATTATTCATGATGTTTAGTGGTACACTTCCTACTTTATTTATAGAATTTTCTATATAACTTTCTATGAATGTGAATGTATTAATTTATTCATTTATTATTCCTACATTTATAAAGTACTTGTTATATTGTTGCAGGAAGTCAGCGACCCTGAATGGAGAGACCAGCTGGAGCCGCAGCAGAGGAACATAAACTATGAAGATTTCATGGACATTTATCACTTCCCTAATAATACTCTTATAATTTCTTATGCCTGTCTTTAATCTCTTAATCCCGTTATCTTCATAAGCTGAGAATGTACATCACCTCAGGACCACTATTGTGCAAACTGATTGTAAAACATGTGTGTTTGAAAAGTATGAAATCAGTGCACCTTGAAAGACAACAGAACAACAGCGATTTTATGGAACAAGCGAAGATAACCATAAGGTCTGACTGCCTGTGGGGTCAGGTAGAATAGAGCCATATTTTTCTTCTTGCAGAGAGCCTATAAACGGATGTGCAAGTAGGAGAGATATGGCTGAATTCTTTTCCCAGCAAGGAATACCCTGGGGAAAGAATGCATTCCTGGGGGGAGATCTATAAATGGCCGCTCTGGGAGTGTCTGTCTAATGTGGTTGAGATAAGGACTGAAATACGCCCTGGTCTCCTGCAGTACCCTCAGGCTCACTAGGGTGGGGAAAAACCCCACCCTGGTGAAATTGAGGTCAGATAGGTTCTCTGCTCTCAAACTCTGTTTTCTGTTAAGATGTTTATCAACATAATATGTGCACAGCAGGACATACACCTGCATCAGTAATTCTAATTTTGCCCTTGCCTTGTGATCTTTATTGCCCTTTGAAGCATGTGATCTTTGTGACCTACTCCCTGTTCGTACACTTCCTCCTCTTTTGAAATCCCTAATAAAAACTTGCTGGTTTTGTGGCTCAGGGGACATCACGGACCTACGGATATGTGATGTCACCCCTGGAGGCCCAGCTGTAAAATTCCTCTCTTTGTACTCTTTCTCTGTATTTCTCAGACTGGCCGACACTTAGGGAAAATAGAAAGAACCTACGTTGAAATATTGGGGGCTGGTTCCCCCAATATTATATGCTAAAAGTCATGTTTGATAATGGTATTACAAAAATGATCGATACTTGACCTTACTCTGAAGAAACTTATGGAGCCATCAAAGAGACATACATGTATAAACAACCATTTACTTTCATGAGGGATAAGTGATAGTGAGATCTCCGTATTTCAATAACCTGATTAATATTAAGCCAGGCATATTAAAAATCATTTTTAGAAACTGATTTTCAGATGACCTTTTGTGAAATGAGAAAAAAATGCAGGATGTATGAACAAAAGGAGTTTTAACTACAAGAACAAAGGGAAAGAAACCATGAAAAGTTTAAAAATCTTCTAATTCTGAAGATGATTAGCCAAAGTAATTCTCCTTATGTTATTTTAGCATTAGGGGTATCCAATAATTTTGAATCTAGTAAGTGATTGATATTTGATTTGAAATCAATGGAAAATTAATTGTAGGCATTTTTAAATTTCCCTACATAAGAATTAAGATGGATGTTAATGGATAAGTAGTCAATGGTATTTTCTCTCCAAGTATAGATCACAAATATAGAGTCTTTACACATACACACAAACATACATGTGCCCACACACACACAGAATAGATGTTTTAAAAAAATTGCTTTCCATTTTCTCTCATATTCTGTAATAGAGAAAAACAAACAAACAAAAACAAAAAAACAACAATAAAAAACTTCTCATTCTTCTTTCACTGTATGTGCCAGCTGGAGCTGTTTTGCATCAACTCAAAGCTAGTGGGACTAAGTTCTCTTGGCCAGTGGACTAAAAATTGCTTTGCATTGTAGACTGTCTGGCAACTTTGTCGCCAGACACACTTTCTTAGGGGTCAGTGTGTTTGGGATTATGTATGGACAGTGACTTAATATAGTTTCTCCGCCTGAGATTTGTAAGGGCCAAGAACATTCCTACTAGACTCCTTAGCAGATTACTTTCAGATTTCTACTTTTTAGAGAAAGAGGTGAAAAAAATTGGCCGGAAAAAATATTTTGCAAATAATTCAAAGTAATCTTGATGAGATTAGGAAAATCTATCAGTAATCTATCCTCTAGACAAATATCAGAAGTGGCAGAGTGAAAGAATATTACAAAGTAGAAAAAATAAATACTGGAAAGAAATGGGTTTAATTAAATTTTAATGAGATTTTCTGAGAGTCATTGTTTTTATTGCACATTTTTGGTTTTGTGCTGTTTATTAGGATTCTGAATTTACCAGCTTTGCATAAAATAAATTAAGCTTGTGGGGGACATAATTTTACTTTTGTAGTCATTAATTTAAAAAAACTGAAGAACATGGCAGATTACCAATCAATATTGTAGTTATTTATTTTGTCCTAATAAAACTCCAGAAACATTTTAGCAAGCCTTTATAATACATGATGTGAATTGTTATATTTAGCAATAAATAGAATGTCATGTCTGTCATACATTTGAAAGAATAATCACAAATAGTTTGGCAATATCCATTTATTAAAGATCCAATGTTTTCAATAACAGTTGTGTTATTTTCTAACTCTCAAAAAAATCTAATTTGCATGGTGGCATTATATTTATTGGGTTCCAAAGAATTTATATATTTAGAATTTTTTTAATTTATGTATGCTTTATAGTAGAATGAATTTAGGGTTTTTTTGGTAAAATAATCATTTGTGAAAAATTCCCATTGAGTTTTTATTTAAAACTGTTTTTAATTTTTTGTGAGTAAAAAATAGCTGTGTAAGAGATATTTTGATATAGGTATATAATGTGTAATAATCACATCAGGGTAAAGGGAGTATCCATCACCTCAAGCATTTATTCTTTGTGTTATAAACAATCAAATTATACTCTTTTAGTTATGTTAAACTGCATATTTAAATTATTTTTTATTATAGTTACTCTATTGTGCTATCAAATACTAGATCATACTAATTTTTTGTAACTATTTCTGTAATGATTAACCATCCCAACTTTTCATCCATCTTCTCACCACCCTTCTAAGTCTCTGGTAACCATCCTATTCTCTATCTTCTTGAGTTCAATTGCTTTGGGTTTTAGGTCCCACAAGTAAGTGAGAACATGTGATTGTCTTTCTGGGTCTGGCTTATTTCAATTAACATAATGATTTCCAGTTTCATCCAAGTCTTTGCAAATAACAGGATAGAATCTTAAACATTTTTATGGCTGAATAGTACTCCATTGTGTATACGTACTACATTTTCCTTATCCATTTGTTTGCTGATAGATATTTAGGTTGTTTCCAAATCATGGCTATTGTGAATACTGCTGTAATAAACACGGGAGTGCAGATAATTCTTTGATATATTGACTTTTTTTCTTTGAATATATACCTAGAAGTGGGATTGCTGAATGATATAGTAGCTTTATTTTTAATTTTTCTAGTAATATTGAAACTTTTCTTCATAGTAATTGTATTAATTTCCATTTACACCAACAGTGTGCAAGTGATCCCTTTTCTTCACTTCCTCACCAGCATGTATTATTGCCCATCTTTTGGATATAAACCATATAAACCATATTTGGATGGGCATGTGTTATTGCCCATCTTTTGGATATAAACCATCTTTTGGATATAAATGCTATAAGTGAGATTATATCGCATTATAGTTTTGATTGGCATTTCTCTGATGATCAGTGATGTTGAGCACCTTTTTGTATGCCTCTGTGCCATTTGTATGTCTTTTTCTGAGAAATGTCTATTCAAATATTTGGCCTAATTTTAAATTTGATTAACAGATTTTATCCTATTTAGTAGTTTGAGCTCCTTATGTATTCTGGTTATTAATCTATTGTCGGGTAGTTTGCAAATGTTTTCTCTCATTCTGTGGATTGTCTCTTCACTTTGTTAAATGTTTCCTTTTCTGTACAGGAGCTTTTAACTTGATGTGATTTTATTTGTTCATTTTTCCTTTTGTTGCTTGTGTATGTGGGGTATTACTCAAAAAAATATTTGCTGAGTCCAATGTCCTGGAGAGATTCCCCAATGTTTTTTACAGTAGATTAATACTTTGAGGTCTTAAATTTAACTCTTTCATTTATTTAGATTTGATTTCTGTATTTGATGAGAGACAGGGATTTAGATTTTTTCTTTTGAATAGGCTATTTAATTTTCCCAGCACCATTTATTGAAGAGATTGTCATTTCTCCAATGTGTGTTCTTGGCATCTTTGTGGAAAATTAGTTTATTCTAGGTCTATGGATTTCTTTTTGAGTTCTCTGTTCTTTTGCATTGGTCTTTGTGTCTGTTTTTATGCCAGGACCATGCTTTTTTGGTTATGATAGCCCTGTCATATAATTTAATTTCCGGTAATGTTATTACTCCAGTGTTGTTATTTTTGCTCAGGATAACCTTGACTATTCTTGCTTTTTGTGGCTCCATATAAATTTTGAGGATGTTTTGCCTATTTCTGTGAAGAATGTTATTGGTATTTCGATAGAGATTGCATTGAATCTGTAGATTGCTTTGGGAAGTATGGGCATTTTAACAAGATTGATTCTTTCAATTCATGAGCATAGAATATCTTTCTTTTTTTGTGAGTCTTTTTCAATGTCTTTAATCATTGTTTTATTACTTTAATTATAGAGATCTTTCACTTCTTTTGTTAATTCTTAGGTATTTAATTGTAGCTATTTTAAATGAGATTATATTTTTATTTCTTTTCCAGATTATTCACTGTTGGCATATAAAAATGCTACTCATTTTCATATGTTGATATTTTATCTTGAAAATTTACTGAATGTGTTCATCAGTTTGAATATTTTTTTTGTTGGAGTCTTTAGGTTTTTCTAAATATAAGATCATATTTTCTGGGAACAAGGATCATTTGATTTCTTCCTTTCCAATTTGGATCCCCTTTGTTTATTTCTCTTGTCTGATTGCTCCAGCTAGGACTTCCAGTACAATGTTGAGTAACAGTTGGTGAAAATAGGCATATTTGTTGTATTCCAAATCATTTTTTTTAAAAAAGGGTTTCAGTTTTTCCCCATTCCATATGATACTAGTTGTGAGATTGTCATATATAGCTTTTATTATGTGGAGGTATGTTCCTTCTATACCCAGTTTTTTTGTTTGTTTGTTTTGTTTTGTTTTGTTTTGTTTTTGAGACGGAGTCTCACTCTGTTTCCAAGGCTGGAGTGCAGTGGCATGATCTCAGCTCACTGCCGGCTCTCCCTCCGGGGTTCACACCATTCTCCTGCCTCAGCCTCCCGAGTAGCTGGGACTACAGGCGCCCGCCACCACGTCTAGCTAATTTTTTTTGTTTGTTTGTTTTTTAGTAGAGACGGGGTTTCACCATGTTAGCCAGAATGGTTTCGATCTCCTTACCTCGTGATCCACCCACCTCGGCCTCCTAAAGTGGTGGGATTACTGGCGTGAGCCACCGTGCCCGGCCTTTCTATACCCAGTTTTATGAGGGATTTTATCATAAAGATATGTTGAATTTTATCAAATGCATTGTCAGCATCAATTCAGTCATACAGATTTTGTCTTTCATTCTGTTAACATGTTTTGTCACATTGATTGATTTGTTTATGCTGAACTATTTTAGCATTCCTGAGATAAAACCCATTTGGCCGTGAGGAATTTTGTTTTTAGTATTTTGGTTTGGTAATATTTCGTTGAGAATTTTTGTGTCAATGTTCATTATTAATATTGGAGCAAAGCTTTATTTTTTATTATTTTGGTGTTTTCTTGAAAGGTTTTGTTATCAGGGTAATATTGGCCTCATAGAATGAGTTTGGAAATATTCCTTGCTCCTGAAAAGTTACCCAAAAATGTGGAAGCAACTTTGAAACTGGGTAGCGGACAGAGGTTGTAACAGTTTGGAGGGCTGAGAATAAGGCAGGAAAATGTGGAAAAATTTGGAACTTCCTAGAGACCTGTTGAATGACTTTGCTCAAAATGCTGATAATGATATGGACAATGAAATCCAGGCTGTGGTGGTCTCAGATGGAGATGAGGAACTTGTTGGGAACTGGAGCAAAGATGTCTCTTGTTATGTTTTAGCAAAAAGACTGGCAGCATTTTGCTCCTGCCATAGAGATTTGTGGAACTTTAAACTTAGGAGACATTATTTAGGATATCTGGCAGAAGAAATTTCTAAGCAGCCAAGCATTCAAGAGGTGACGTGGATGCATTCAAGGGGTATTCAGATTTAAAAAGAAAGTAGAGCATAAAAGTGCAGAAAATTTGCAGCCTGACAATGTAATAGAAAAGAAAATCCCATTTTCTGAGGAGAAATTCTGGACAGCTGCAGAAATTTGCATCAGTAACGAAGAGCTGACTGTTAATCCCCAAGACAATGGGAAATATGTTTCCAGGGCATGTCAGAGGTCTTCATGGCTGTCCCTCCTATCACAGGCACCAGAGGCCTAATAGAAAAAGTGGTTTCATGGGCCAGACCCAGGCTCCCTATGTGCAGCCTAGGGACTTGGTGTCCTGCATCCCAGCTGTTCCAGCTGTGGCTGAAAAGGGCCAATGTAGAGCTGAGGTCATGGCTTCAGTGGGTGGAAGCCTCCAGCCTTGGCAGCTTCCACATGGTGTTGAGCCTGTGAGTGCATAGAACTCAAGAATTGGGGTTTGGAAACCTCCGCCTAGATTTCAGAGTATGTGTGGAAATGCCTAGATGTCCAGGGAGAAGTTTGGTGCAGGGGTGGGGCTCTCATGGAGAACCTCTGCTAAGGCAATGCAGAAGAGGAATGTAGGATTGGAGGTCCCACACAGAGTCCCTACTGGGGCACCACCTAGTGGAGCTGTTAGAAGAGGGCCACCATCTTCCAGCCCCCAGAATGGTAGATCCACCAACAGCTTGCACAGTGTGCCTGAAAAAGCCACACACACTCAACACCAGCCCATGAAATCATCCGGGAGGGAGGCTGTGTCCTGTAAAGCCACAGGGGCAGAGCTGCCCAAGGCCATGGGAACCCACCTCTTGCATGAGTGTGAACAGGATGTGAGACATGGAGTCAAAGATCATTTTTGAGCTTTAAGATTTGACTGCCCCATTGGATTTAGAACTTGCATGGAACCTGTAGCCCCTTTGCTTTGGCCAATTTCTCCCATTTGGAACAGCTGTTATTTACCCAATACCTGTACCCCCATTGTATCTGGGAAGTAACTAACTTGCTTTTGATTTCACAAGCTCATAGGAGGAAGGGACTTGCCTTGTCTCAGATGAGACTTTGGACTGTGGACTTTTGAGTTAATGCTGAAATGAGTTAATACATTGGGGGACTGTTGGGAAGGTATGATTGATTTTGAAATGTGAGGACAGGAGATTTGAGACGGTCTAGGATGGAATAATACGGTTTGGCTGTGTTCCCACCCAAACCTCATTTTGAGTTCCCATGTGTTGTGGGAGAGACCCAGTAGGAAGTAATTGAATCGTGGGGCAGGCCTTTCCCATGCTGTTCTCATGACAATGAATAAGTCTCACAAGATCTGATGGTTTTAAAAGGGGAGTTTCCCTGCACACTCTCTTCTCTTGTCTGCCGCTAAGAGAAACTCTTCTCTTTCACCTTCTACCATGATTGTGAGGCCTCCCCAGCCCCATGGAACTGTAAGTTCATTAAAGCTTTTTCTTTTGTAAATTGCCCAGTCTCAGGTATTTCTTCATCAGCAGCATGAAAACAGACTAATACAATACCAGAGTAAGGACTAGGAACCAAGTTTACTTACTATTAATTTATTGTTTTTATTCTTTTTCTTAATTGGCTTCCTGCAAAATAAAATAAAAGAATTTTTTTTAAAAAACTAAATAAGATTAGTTAATATAATTCATGTGTATATAAGCTATACATTTTTTTCAGGGCTTTCAAATTACATATATGCACTATCATCACTCGTGTATTTATTTTTTTCTCTGTTAAACTTTATATATATTTAAAGTGGAAAAGCTACTCTATAGCAGGTTACCAAAATGATATCTCTTTAATTTCTTCAACTTCCAATTTTTCAGATGTGTGTGTGTATGTGTATGTGTGTGTATACATATCCTGTGCATAACAAAATCCAAGAATTAGATAGAGTTAATCTTTACCATCCAGGAATATACCAAAAAGTGTAACTGAAAGATACATGAAAAAAGCTAGAGGTAATTAAGTAAATTAAAATAAAAAGCACAATAGGGGGGAAAAAAAGGAAAATTTATTGCACATGGAGACCATTTTATTGATTCAAAGAATTGGTCACATTTTAAATTCGCACTTTTTCTGCTTGTCCTATTGATACTATGAAATAAACTTGAAACATTCATTAGAATGTATTTCAACTTTTCAGCCACTTGTGTTGATTTTATGTATCCTATGCAATTTTTATTCAATCCTGAATAAAAAGCCATGTTGTTGTTTAGATAACTGGAGACCAAAAAATAGTGGAAGAGTATTTAATTGCACATCATATAAAAGTAACAAAGGCAGATTTGGGACAACTTTCACTTATTTGAGCTCCGAGTATGTTTAGTTTGCGTTTTTTAACAAAGTATGATTACAGAAAACGTCCTTAAAACACCTTTTGTTCATAATCTCAAAATCGATTAAACAATTTATGCACATATTAATATAGAATTCAAATACAAATAAAAGGGTATCTTAATTTTTCTTAAGCCAATGTGGTAACTTACCAATAAAAAAGGTGAAACAAACAAAATCCAGTGAACCTTGTGTTTCTGTTCAGGTTGCCAGCTTCCTAAAAGTGCTGTCTGCTTGGCAGAATATAGGAAGTGTTTGGGCACTGCAGAACTACAGAGTAATATTATTTCCTTACAGATAGATTAGCTAAATGACAATGATCTCACGCAGATGATTCAAATTGAGAAAAATACCTAAAATTTGAGAACCAAGACATGCAGTGTCTTGTTTAATACATGTTGATAATAATGTCGCCTATTAGGAAAAAATTGCCCATATAGCTCCCCTGCTGTAATCTCTACATTCTTGTTGTTAGGATTTGCAATTAACCTTAATTAGATTACTTTGTTTTTTCATGTAGTTTTAAATTAATGTAGTAATTAGCAATATTTAATTTTGAGCTGTGTTGTCACCATTTGCAGATACACTTTTATCAAAACATGCAAAGCAGATACTATTCTAGTTGGTAATAGGTCATGCTGCCCTTGGAAAATTTTACTTTTATTAGTCTTTCTGTTTCCTAATTGTTGGAGTGGTTCTAAAAAACCTTTTGTACTTGTAAATATCACTTGTACATATAAGGGGGCATTAATTGAAGGTTTCCCATTATGTTTTATTTTACTGGACACAATATTAATCAATCACTTAATTTCTTCATTATTAGCTGAAATTTAAGTGAGACTTTTTTTGATATGCAAGAGATACAAAAAGAGTTTTAGAAAAGACACTATCTCTGCCTAAAATACCAAAGTTGAGTTCCAACACATGATTGACTAAAGTGATGCAGATTCCTCTTCTGCTAGAAACACATACATAGACTATGATAGATGTATTTTACAAGATTTGTAGCTGAAATTAAAAGATAAAGAAATTCCCAAGTGCTAGAAACAAAAAAGGAATTTAAAGCCAGAAAAGTAAATTAAGGCAAATACCACAGTGGTCCTGATGGATATTAAACAAATGGCAAAGGGCTTGGTTTTTAATATCTAGAAATAAAGCAAATGCATGGCTTCAGGACTGCCCAGTGTGGAATGTGGGTCCTGAGAATCTGAATTAAACCAGTACCTTTTATTTTAATTCAATCATTGAAAAAGGATTGGAAAATTCCTACTCCTAAGCAGCTCTTGGGTTCTCAGGTAGAAAAAAAACCAAAACAAAATCAAAAAACACATCTTATAAGAAACTGAAAGTGTAAGTCTGTCCTATGTGCAAGCTCCAAATTAATGCTACTCATTTAGTACAACAGTCAAGTTTAGACAGTAACGATGAAGAGAAAAACTGTCTCATGCAGGTAAAACCACTGAAAATATAACAGGGGAAAAAATCTTCTCTAGGAAAACTATTATATACAGGTTGTTTATGGGGGAATAAAGAGGTTACTTTCACTGAAGAAAGCCTCAGTAAAAATGTCACGTGTCATCTGAGGATACAAATAATAAGGAAATAAATTCAGCAAAAGAAACAAACATGATAATTTGTTTTCCAGTTACAAGAAGTAATAAAATAGTATGAAAGAGACCATAAAGTCAACATGTTTATAATGAATCATAAATAGAATACTTCAGACAAGAAAAAAATGCAAAGAAAAAAAGGATGCTATGACAATGACAATTATTTAAACAGAAATTGTTTATTAACAATTAATTACACAGAAACCAAATACCTGTTCAAAAACAGAGATTCTCAGGTTTCATGTAATTAAAAACAACAAAAATTATGGGCTCCTGGTTGTGTTTATGAAAGAGCAAAGTTTAAAGTAAAGGAATGAAAATGATATATTATAAAAACACTAAGCAAACAAAAGTTGTTGTAGCTAAATTAATATAGACAAATTAAACTTTAGGTCAAAAAGTATTACAGAAATTAAGACACAGATGTCTTAGTAATGAAAGGATTTATTGAAAAGGATGCTAAAAATTCTAAATGTTTATGTATCTCATAATTTATACTCAAAATACGTAAAGCAAAACTTGACACAACTGAAAAGAGAAAGAGGCAAATTTACAATCCCAGTAGGAGGCTTTCACACACAGTAACTGATCAAAAGAAGCAGAACAAAAAATTATAAACAATATAGAAAACTTGAACTTAATTCCATATAAAGAACTCTACATAAAACATATGCCATGTAGACATTTTCTTGAAGTATACATGGAACATTTACCAAAATATATCATACTTGGTGTTTAAAGTAACATTTAATATGTGTCAAAGAATTAAAGTCTTAGAGATTATTGTCTCTGACCACAGTGAAATAAATCTAGAAATCACTAATATAAAGAGAATTTTTAAGAATTATCACTTTTTGAAAATTAAACAACACATATTTAAATAATCCATGGATCAAAAAACCAATCACAACATGAATTGAAACATATTTTCAGTGAATGCAAATTAAAATAGGACATATCAAAACATGTGGAACACAGCTATAGAAGAATTATAGACAAATTTATAGCCTTAAGTTATGATATAAAAATTAAAAGCAGACATGGTGGCGTGTGCCTATAATTCCAGCTACCTAGAAGGCTGAGGCAAGAGGATTGCTTAACCTTAGGAGATCAAGCCAAAGTGTGCAACATAGTGAGACACCATCTCTAAATATAAAATAAAATAAAATAAAATAAAATAAAATAAAAGATTTCCAATAGATATTCTAAGCTTCCTTTCGAAGATCATGAAAAATTAAGAGGAAATTAAAATGCAATGAAGTAAAAAGAAGAAAATAATAAATTTAAAAGCAAAAATAAATAAAATAGAAAGTTAATATACACTAAAGAAAATTAGCAAAACCATTTGTTTTTTGAAAGTTTAAAAAGGATTAAACCTCTTCCAAGACTCACCAAAAAAGAGAAAAAAAATAAATTAGCAGTATCCAATTTTAAAAGAACATCATCAAAACTTTTATAGATATTTTTAAAAATGAATATTATGAACAGATTCTTGCTCATAAAACTGACAATTTTGAATAAATTCACAAATTCATAAACTTTTTGAAAATTCACCTTAGAAGAACATGGAGAAATAGGAAAACCTGAATAGTCTTTTGCATATTAGATAATTAAATTTCTACAAATAAATTTCTTCTATAAAGAAAGATCTGCACACAAATGACTTACTGGTGTCATCTTCCAAATATTTAACTTAAAAAATAACAAAATTTACCCAACTCTTCCAGAATGTAGAAAAATACAGAACATTTCCCACTTCAATTTATAAGGTCAGAATAACTTTGAGATAAATGTCTGATGAGGCCATAAAAAAATTACAGACAAATATCTCTCATCAATATAGATACAAAACGCCAAAGGCAAATATTGGTAAATCAAATCTATGATATAGAAAATGGATTTAATTACAACTACCATAATGCAGATTGATTTAATATTAGAAAATAAATTAATATGATTTACTACATTAGCAGAATAAATGATAAAAGCAATATGATTACCTCAACAGAAGTGGGAAGAGCATTTGAAAAATCCAAAATTTAGTTGTTATTTTTAAAAATCTCATAAAAGTGATTACAAAAGATCAATTTTTTTAAGTATCTAAAAAAGCCATTGGTAATATTTTATATGATTATGAAATATTGTATGGTCATTCCCTGAATTCACAGACAAGACAAAGCTCTACACTACTACATGTTATTTTCAGCAATGAACTAACTGTAAGTCCTTTCAAGTGCAATGAGATGAAAAGTGTCACTTTTCTAGATGACATGATTCTATGTATAGAAAACCCAAAATAATCCACAATGTAACTAGTAGAATTAATAAGGAAATTTAGCCATGTTACACAATATGAGGTGCATATATAAAAGTTCATTGTAACTATATTTTCAATAAACAATTAAAAATATTAAAAAATAATATACAATAGCATTAAAAATTTCAAATATCTAGGAATAAATATAAACAAATACATCTAATATATTTACATTGAAAACAATAAAACACTGCTGAGAGTCATTAAAGAGAACCTAAACCAATGGAGGAATATAGCAAATTCATGAGACAGTATTTCTACCACAACAATTCTTATTTTGAGTTATAGATTCAATGTAATATTAATTAAATCCCACAAAGTTTGTATGTTTGTGTGAGCATACATTGAAAATCTGATTCTAAAATCTATGTGAAAAAGAATAAAATGCAAGGAATTATACTAATGGGTAGAGTAGTGCTTCCTTATCTTCAGGGGATATATTTTATGACACAAAATGGATGCCTGAAATGATGGCTAATATCAAGCCCTATGCATACTATTTTCTCCTATACATATATATCTATGATAACACTTATTTTATAAATTAAGCATAATAAGACATTAATAAAATATAACTAATAATAAAATAGAACAATTATAAAAATGTACTGTAATAAAAGTTATGTGAATTTGTTCTTTCTTATTCTCTCTCTCTCTCTCAGTATTTTATTTTACTGAACCACAGGTAACTGAAATCATGAAAAGCAAAATTGTGGATAAGGAGAAACTACAGTATTGTATTAGTTTGCTCAGGATGCCATAACTAAACACCACAGATTGGGTGGTTTATACAAAGGAAACATTATCTCAAAGTCTAAGATCAAGATGCTGGCAGGGCTAGTTTCTGATAAGGCCTTTCTTCCTGGCTTACACACAGCTGCCTTCTTACTGTGTTCTTACACTTTCTTTCCTCTGTGCATAAGTATATACAGAGAGACAGAAACACAGAAAGCACACTCTCTGATGTCTCTTCCTTTCTTGTAAGAACACCAGTCCTATCAGATTAGGATTCTATGCTTAAGACCTCACTAAGCCTTAAATACCTCCTTAAAAACTCTACCTCCAAATAGAGTGAATTTAGGTTTAAGACTTCAATGTATGAATTGTGGGGGAAAACAATTCAGTCCATATTAGATATCAAGATATATAAAGTTCATAAATATAAGTGTTTTACTGGCAAAAGAAAGAAAAAAAAAGACAAGGAAGGAGAATAGAGTCCAGAATCAGATCCACAAATATATAGACATCTTAGTTACAAGAAATAATTCATGAAATTAAGTAAAGGATAGTTGATCTTATTAATACATGGTGTCAAGTCAATTGGATGTTGATATTGTAAAATAAAAAAAAACTTATCCTTAACATCTGTATTAGTCCATTTTTACACTGCTATAAAGAACAACCCGAGACAGGATAATTGATAAAGAAAAAAGTTTTAATTTACTCATAATTCCACATGGCAAATGAGGCCTCAAGAAACTAACATTCATGGCAGAAAGTAAAAGGGAAGCCAGGCATGTCTTACATGATGGCATGAGAGAGAGAGATTCAGGGGGGAAGTGCCACACACTTTGAAACCATCAGATCTCATCAGAACCCACTCATTATTATGAAAAGAGCATGAGGGAACCACCCCCATGATCCAGTCACCTCCCACCATGTCCCTACTCCTACATGTGAGGATTACCATACAAGATGAGATTTGGGTGAGGACACAGAGCAAAACCATGTCATTCCACACCTGGCCCCTTCCCCAGATCTTATGTCCTCACATTGCAAAACACAATCATGCCTTTGAACAGGCCCCCGAAGTCTTAACTCATTCCAGCATTAACTCAAAAGTCCAAGTTCAAAGTCTCATCTGAGATAAGGCAAGTCCCTTCCACCTATGAGCCTGTAAAATCAAAAGCAAGTTAGTTATTTCCAAAATACAGTGGGGGTACAAGCATTGAGTAAATGCGCCCATTCCAAATGGGAGAAATTGGCCAAAACAAAGAGGCTACAGGCCTCATGCATGTCCAAAACCCAACAGGGCAGTCATTAAATCTTTAAGCTCTAAAATAATCTCCTTTAACTGCATGTCTCATATCCAGGGCATACTGATGCAAAAGGTGGGCTCTCAAGGCCTTGGACAGCTCTGTCCCTGTAGCTCTGAAGGGTGCAGCTTCCATGTGTCCTTTCACAAGCTGGTGTTGAGTGCCTATGGCCTTTCCAGATGCACAGTGCAAGCTGTAGGTGATTCCACCATTCTGTGGTCTGGAAGATGGTGGCCCTCTTCTCACAGCTCCACTAGACAGTGCCCCAGTGGGGACTCTGTGTGAGGGCTCCAAGCCCACATGTCCCCTCTGCCTTGCCCTAGCAGATGTTCTCCTTAAGGGCTCCAGCCCTGCAGCAGATTTCTGCCTGGACACTCAGGCGTTTCCATACATCCTCTGAAATCTAGGCAAAGGCTCCCAAAGCTCAACTCTTGTCTTTCAGTGCACCTGCAAGCACAACAACACGTGGAAACCACCTAACTTTTGGGCTTGCACCCTCTGAAGCAATTGCCTGAGCTGTACCTTGGCCCCTTTAAGCTATGGCTGGAACTGGAGCAGCTGGGATGCAGGGCACCATGTCCTGAGGCTGCACGCAGCAGCAGGGCACTGGGCTCAGCCCAAAGCCCATTTTTCCCTTCTAGGCAGGCCTTCAGGCCTGTGATGGGAGGGGCTGCCTTGAAAAGCTCTAAAATGCCCTGGAGCTGCTTTCCCAATTGTCTCGGTTATTCACATTCAGTTCCCAGTTACTTACACAGATTTCTGCAGCTGGCTTAAATTTCTTCCCAGAAAATTGGATTTTCTTTTCTACCACATGGTCAGGCTATAAATTTTCCAAACTTTTATGCTCTGCTTCCCTTTTAAACATAAGTTCCAATTTCAGATCATCTCTTTGTGAACACATATGACTGTACACTTTTAGAAACAGCCAGGTTACATCTTGAATGCTTTCCTGCTTAGAAATTTCTTAAACCAGATACCCTAAATCATCTCTCTCAAGTTCAAAGTTTCACAGATCTCCAGGGCAGGGGCAAAAAGCTGCTAGTCTCTTTGTTAAAGCATAGCAAGAGTGAACTTTGCTCCAGTTCCCAGTAAGTTTCTCATCTCCATCTGAGGCCACCTCAGCCTGGACTTCTTTGTTCATATCACTATCAGAATTTTGGTCAAAACCATTCTACAAGTCTCTAGGAAGTTCCAAACTTTCCCACATCTCCCTGTCTTTTTCTGAACCCTCCCAATTATTCCAACCTCATCCTGCTATTCAGTTCCAAGGTTGCTTCCACATTTTGAGGTATCTGCATAGCAATACCCGACTCCTGGTATCAATTATCTATACTAGTCCATTTTCACACTGCTATGAAGAACTACCTGAGACTGGGCCAGGTGCAGTGGCTCATGTCTGTAATCCCAGAACTTTGGAAGGTCAAGGCGGGCAGATTGCTTGAGCTCAGAAGTTCAAGACCAGCTTTGCCAACATGGTGAAAACCTATCTCTACAAAAAAAAATAATAACAATAACTAAATAAAATACAAAAATTAGTAGGGTGTTGTTGTGTGCGCCTGTAGTCCCAGCTACTTGGGAGGCTGAGGTGGGAGAATGGCTTAAGCCTGGGAGGCAGAGGTTGCAGTGAGCCAAGATTATGCCATTGCAATCCAGCCTGAGTGACAGAGCCAGACCCTGTTACAAAAACAAAACAAAACAAAAAAAAAACCTATATAAGACTGGGTAATTTATAAAGAAATGATGTTTAATTGACTCACAGTTTTGCATGGCTGGGGAAGTCTCAGGAAACTTACAATCATGGTGGAAGTTGAAGAGGAAGCAAGGCATGTCTTACATGGAGGCAGGGGAGAGAAAGAGCAAAGGTGGAAGTGCCACACATCTTTAAACCATCAGATCTCATGAGAACTCACTGTCATGAGAACAGCATGGGGGAACTGCCCCCATGATCCAGTCACCTCCCATCAGGTCCCTCCCTGATAATGCGCGGATTATAATTTGAGATGAGATTTAGGTGGAGACACAGAGCCAAACCATATCCACATCTATCATATGCAAAATTATTTTGAGATAGATAACTGGTTTACTTATGAAAGATAAAACAATATAACTTCTAGAAAATTAAGAGAATATCTTTGCAAATGTAAAATATACAGACTTCTTAAATAGAGCCCAAAAGGCACTAACCATTAAAAACATATTAAATAGATGTCATTAAACTTAATTTCTTTATATCAAAGATACCATCAAACAGCAGAGTGGGAGAAGATATTTGTATTATATTTATGTGAGAAAAAATAGTAATAAGAACATATTTTTAAAATACAACAAATAAGTAAGACAAAGGCAATCCAATTTTTAAAAAATGAACCAGTCAGCAGGTCGAAACCATCTGGCTAACACGGTGAAACCCCATCTCTACTAAAAATACAAAAATTTAGCCAGGCATGGTGCTGAGTGCCTGTAGTCCCAGCTACTCAGGAGGCTGAGGCAGGAGAATGGCGTGAACCCAGGAGGCGGAGCTTGCAGTGAGCCGAGATCGCGCCACTGCACTCCAGCCTGGGCTTCAGAGTGAGACTCGGTCTCAAAAAAAAAAAAAAAATGAACCAAACACTTAAATAACTTAAATAGGCACTTCAAAAAATATTTCCTAATGGCTATTAAATATGTGAATCTTACTTAATTTTTTATTCGTCAGAAAAATACAAATTAAAACTACAATAAAATGCCACTATTCTTTCACTACAAACACACACACACACACACACACACACATACACATATATATATATATATTTTTTTGAGATAGAGTCTCACTGTGTGCCCAGGCTGGAGTGCCCTGGCGCAATCTTGGCTCACTGCAACCTCCGCCTCCTGGGTTTAAGACATTCTCTGCCTCTGCCAGGCATGGTGGCTCATGCCTGTAATCCCAGCACTTTGAGAGGCCGAGGCGGGTGGATCACAAGGTCAAGAGTTCGAGACCAGCCTGACCAACATGGTGAAACCCCATCTCTACTAAAAATACAAAAATTAGCTGGGCGTGGTAGTGTGTGCCTGTAATCCCAGCTACTCAGGAGGCTGAGGCAGGAGAATTGCTTGAACCCGGGAGACGGAGGTTGCAGTGAACCGAGATCGCACCATTTCACTCCAGCCTGGGCGACAGAGTGAGACTCCGTCTCAAAAAAAAAAAAAAGAAAGAAATTTTCTGCCTCAGTCTCCCAAATAGCTGAGATTACAGGCACGTGCCACCACCCCCAGCTATTTTTTTTTTTTTTTTTTGCATTTTTAGTAGAGATGAGAGTTCAGCATCTTGGCCAGGCTGGTCTTGAACTCCTGACCTCGTGATCCGCCCACCTGGGCCTCCCAAAGTACTGGGATTACAGGCGTGAGCCACAGCGCCCAGCCTACAAACACTAATATTTTTAAAAGAATATGTTATATAAAGTCTTAGAAAGACTGTGGAGACACTCAAACTTTCATACATTGTCCATGGGAGTGTAAAGTGTTATAATCACTTTTGAAAGCTATTAGCAGCATGTATTAAATATCAATATAAATATATGTTATCATACAAAAATTCCACATTACCTAACAGAAATTTTTATTTTTAGCTACTAAAATAATGTCCAAAAATATTAATGTAGGCTTTGTAAACAGCCAAAAAGTTTGAAAACAACCCAAACTTTCATCAACAGTGGAATGAATAAATACATTTTTATATATTTATACCGTGGGATGCAAGGCTGCAATAGAAAAACTGGCAAGGCAAAGTGGCTCACATCTGTAATCCTGACACTTTGGGAGGTTGAGGCAGGAGAATCCCTTGAGCCCAGAAGTTAGAGATCAGCTTGGGCAAAATAGTGAGACCGTGTCTCTACAAAAAGTAAAAAAATAAATAAAAAATTAGCCATGTGTGGTGGTGCATACCTGTGGTCCCAGCTACTCAGAAGGCTGAGGCAAAAGGATTGCTTGAGGCCAGGAGGTTGAGGCTGTAGTGACCTGTGATCACACCACTGCAATCCACCCTAGGTGGCAGAGCAAACCCAGTCTAAAAAAAAGAAAATAATAAACTATTATAAGCTACAGCATAAATGAATCTCAACGATATAAACTTGAGTACAAGAAGCAAGACACTATAAGGTTAATACTGTATGATTCCATTTATTTGACGTTCAAGAATAAGCAAAACTGCTCTATTGTACTAGAAGTCAGAATAGTAGTTCCTTTGAGAGGGTATCGACTGAGAGGTGACATGAGGGAGACTTCTGTTATGGTGGAGTAAAATTCAGGTCACAGTACTCCAAAATGTGGCACCTTGGCATTTAAGGAAACGGCAAAAGTAGGAAAGTCATTGTCTCATTTCCTTTGCCTTTCTTTTCTCCCCTAAAGCAGCCCATAAAAGAACTATCTGACCTTTTTCTAAAGTAGGTCATAAGATCTTTATTTCCAACGGGTCCTACCTATACCCAGAGAAAAGGAATGGCACCCAAAGAAGTCAAGAAAAATACAACAGATAGGCCTTGCTAGGTTTTCATAACTTATTACCATTAGATCACACCCTTTGTCCTCCAATCATACTTCTGCATGACTGGTTATGAAAATGCACAGTTTTCTGGGGCCGGGTGCTGGGACCCTCACCTGTAATCCCACGCTTGAGAGGTTGAGGTGGGAGAATCACTTGAGCCCAGAAGTTGGAGGCTGCAGTGAGCTATGATCATGTCACTGCACTCCAGCTTTGGTGAAAGAGTGAGACTCTGTTTCTAAGAAAACAACAACAATATGTGTGAGTGTGTGTGTATATATATAGTGTGTGTGTGTGTGCATAAATATATATAAACACACATATTTGTATATATATATTTGTGTACAAATATGTGTGTATATATACAAGCACAGACACACACACACACATGCACACATACAAACATACACAGTTTTACCTGTTTGGGTCTTCATTTCTGTGTAACATAAAATTTATAACAAATACATTTGCATGCTTTTTTATTGTTAATCTCTCTTTTTTTATAGGGGCCTCAGCCATGAAACTTGCAATGGGTACGGAAAAGGAATATATTACTATTTCTTCCTTAGAGTGGAAATAGTCTTTATTTTAATACAGGTAGTGGTAATAGGATTATACACACATATAAAAATTAATTAATCAAGCTGTACTCTTAAGAATACCAAACTTTACAATGAAGTCAGAAAAGCAAGAGTAAACTTTAAAAATAAACAGTGATGTAAAGTCATTTGAGTGCTACCAAGGTAGTAGTAGAAAGCTGTCCAGAATAATCTCAGTGTTGAAGAAAAACCAAAAGAAAAAGCTTGGGATTTATGGCTAGTTTTCTTAAAGAGGCTGCTAAGCAGTCAAGAAAATGAACAGAATTTGACACTTATTCAGATTTAAAGAAACAAAAATCTCAGCTGAAGTTCGGCACCTACCAAGAAATAAAGGCCCTAAAAAACCCACCAGGATTTGAATTGCACTACTGAAATGTTATGTTCCAGATGTAAATGTAAACCCGAAATATTTAGTGTAACAATGTCTGATGTCTGGTTTCAAATTAGTTCCTGAAATTAGATAAAGATGATCTGGGATTACTAGTATATTTAAACACTTGCCAGAAGAAAACATAAATACTGTCTGAATAATGATAAAATTATAAAGCCTAAAATTATTTTGACAATTTTTAATGTAGAATCTTCAGCATTCAATATAATAATTAGACATATAATATTCAATATAATAATTAGACACATAATATTCAATATAATAATTAGACACATAAAAAATTAACAAGCAAAAGAAAATAATAATGGATTATGATAATAGAGAGACAATAGATAATAAAACTGATTTAAATGCAAAAAAGATATTTATGCGCATAATATGTAAACACATATATAAAGGTAAATATAATATATATTTCTTGATTGACTATATATACTATCATATGTAGTCAATATACTATATATAGAATATATATTTCTTGATTGACTATACTATAATATGTAGTCAATATAATATATATTATATATATAATATATACTATTATATTATTATATATTACAAATTATTATATATAATATATAATATATAATACATATTATATATTATATAGATTATACTATGTATATTATATATAATATAATATTATACTATTAGATATATATCATATTTAATATATAATATACAATAGTGTACTATTATATACTATATATTAAATATAATACTATTATATAGTATATATAATATATAATATATGATATATAATATATATAAAATATATAATATATGATATATATTATATAAAATATATAACATATGATATATATTATATAAAATATATAACATATGATATATATTATATATAAAATATATATAACATATGATATATATTATATATAAAATATATATAACATATGATATATATTATATATAAAATATATATAACATATGATATATATTATATATAAAATATATATAACATATGATATATATTATATATAAAATATATATAACATATGATATATATTATATATAAAATATATATAACATATGATATATATTATATATAAAATATATATAACATATGATATATATTATATATAAAATATATATAACATATGATATATATTATATATAAAATATATACATTATATATTATATATTATATAATATACAGTATATATTATATATAATGTATATAGTATATAGTATATAGTATATAGTATATATATTATATATAATGTATATAGTATATAGTATATATTATATACTATATATTATATATAATGTATACAGTATATACTATATATTATATATTATATATTATATATAATGTATATAGTATGTATTATATTATATTATATACTATAGTATATATTATATAATATAATATATACTATAGTATATAGTATATAATATAATATATACTATAGTATATAGTATATAATATATAGTATATATAATATATTCTGTATATTCTATATAATATAGTATATATAATATGTACTATTATATATTATATATATATTATATATATATAATATATAATAGTATATAATATATAATATATACTATATATAATTTATACCATGTATATTTTATATATACATAATATGTATTATATGTTATGTGTATATATACTATTATTATATGTATAGTCAATTAAGGAAAATGATTGACAAGTCTCAATCATTTTAGGAGGTCTATTTGCCAAAGTTAAGCACACGTTCCTGAGAGATATTTATGTGTCTTTCTCTGAAGATGATTTTGAGGGCTTCAATATTTAAAGAGAAAAGGGTGGGATATTGAGAAATACAAAATTTTTATGTGGGGCGAGGTAGGGAAAAATAGTCCTTCATGCCTTTGTCTGGCTCAATGAATCTGCATGTTTACAAAAGATAAAGTAGACAATAGGGCAGAGGAAACAACCAGATATCCATTTCTCTCATGTGGGCAGAGGAATTACTTTGAGTTCTGACCTATGTCCCTGCACTGGTGTAGATGAGCTCTCACAATGCCATGGTAAACTTTAACAGAAATGCTTCAGGGTAAATATCTTTAGGCCCCAAATAAATTTTCTTGTAGGCAAAATGTCAGGGAGGTATGTAGCTTTTCATCTTTGTATCCATCTTATTTAGGAACCAAAATGGGAGGCAGAGTTGCATATATTATCTATCTATCATCTATCTAACTATCCATCTATCTATCTATCTACCTATCTATCTATCTATAATAGTAACAAGGCCTAACATAAATTTAATTTTACCCCACATAAAAGAGGAGAGAGAGGAATATGCAGAAACAGCAAACAATATTTGGAAAAATAACCATTGGCAGTTTGCCAAAAACTGGCAAGCGCTATCAAGCCACAGACTAAAGAAGTCTTACAAATACCAAGGAGGATAAGAAAATAGTAAACATGATAAAAATCAAAGAAAAAGAGAAATTATTAAAAGTACCTGGGAAAAATAGGCAAATTACCTTTAAGAAAACAAAATAAGACTGATACATATTAATGTGTTATAAAATAATTTAACATTGGCAAATAATTCATTAAATACTAGGATAATAGTCAAAAGATATGAATTTTACTCTTGGCTCTTCCTCTGAAAAGTTACACGAGCAGCACTCAGTTTTCTCATCTATGAATGAAAATTCAATATTTTATCCTTTAAAAATATGTAAGCGCAAGATGAGAAAGACACTGTTGGAAAGTAATTTGCGGAAGGGAAACTAGGATTTTTAATTGACCAAAATGTTAGTAACTGTAGACAGTGTGATGTGGCTGCTAAATAAACAAGTAAACAAATAAATTATTTGACTTTATTAAAAGAAATAGGGATTAAATAAAAGGAGGTGATAGTTTTAATATATTCTCTCTTGGTTTGAGCACATCAGGCATGTCCAGTTCTGAGCAGCACTTGTTAGTAAGAACATGGCAAATGTGGACAAGGCATTATCAAGTGCAGCATAAACTTTCAAAAATATGTCAAAGTAGGAATTAAGATGACTTAGGATTTTTACCTTGGAGAAGTGTGTATTTGGGGTGGCAACGGGTTTATGAAACAATTATTTATAAAGATTTGAGAGCCTGCCAAATGAAGATCAAATCAGTAATTATCTTACACTGTTTTAGAAAACACAATAAAATGGAAGGTTTAAGAAGGCAAATAGCCAGGCACGGTGGCTCACACCTGTAATCCCAGCACTTTGGGAGGCCGAGGCAGGCGGATCACCTGAGGTCGGGAGTTCGAGACCAGCCTGACCAACATGGATAAACCCCAACTCCACTACAAATACAAAATTAGCCAGGCATGGTGACTCATGCCTGTAATCTCAGCTACTTGGGAGGCTGAGGCAGGAGAATCGCTTGAACCTGGGAGGCGGAGGTTGCCGTGAGCCGATATCGCGTCACTGCACTCTAGCCTGGACAACAAGAGTGAAACCCCTTCTCAAAAAATAAAATAAAATAAAATAAAATAAGAAAGAAGGCAAATAAATATAGATAGCTTGAGTTCAAAGTTTAGTGCCCTTCTTTAATGACTGTGTGACCTAAGATGTACTAGTCAGGATTCTCCAGAGAAACAGAATAAATAGGGTATTTATGATGTTTATTTATTAATTATCAGAGATTTGCACATGTAATTATGTAGGCTGACAAGTCCAAAATATACAGAGCCAATGTTTCAGTTCCAGTCTGATGGTCTGAAACTGTTGTAGAATCAAGAATAGCTGATATCCCAGTTTGAAAATCTTCAGGCAGGAGAATTTCTCTTATTTAGGTGATTTAGGTGAGAGAGAGGAAGCCTTCTTTTCTATTCAGGCCTTCAACAAACTGAATGACGCCCACCTACATTATAAAGGGCAATCTGTTTTACCCAGTCCACTGATTTAAATGCTAATTTTATCCAAAAACACTCTTACAGAAACACACAGAATAATGTTTAATCAAATATTTGGGCACCTAATGGGCCAGTCATGTTCACACATAAAATTAACTGTCACAAGAAGCAAGTTACTAAACTTCTCTCTGCCTTTGTTTCCTCATCTATAAAATGGAGCTAATAATAGCGCCTAGCTCACTGGCTCATTGCAAGAATTGAATGATAAAAATACTTAAATAGGTACTTCAAAAAGTCACTGGAACATAGAAATTTTCAATAAATATAGGGTAGCATTGTTTCCAGTGCTCAATACACAGTTGTCAAATGATTATAATAATTTGTTATAATATGATACAAGACTATGAGCCAAAAGGAAGCTATATTTTAATCCAATTCCAAAGTCTAAGAGCAGAAAATCAAAGCTTATCCTTACACTTTACAATATCTTTGCATATAGCAACCTAAGAATTTTTTTAATAATTGACAATTGGTAATATATTTTAACAGTATTTTCAGTACTTTATTAAATTACATTTGATAAAGTTCTAGAGAAACTTTAGTTTCTATTTTACTATGAGAAGCAAACAAAATTAGACTATTTTAGTATAATTACAGAAAATTATGTCTAAAGTAAGACAAAGCTATTTTGAACCACTTAGAGGGCTGGATTTTAGAATAACATAACATAAATTTTTTTATCACATCAAAATGCATACAAAAATGCTAAATAATAAAAATATCAAAAAGGTGTCCCATCAGGTTTCCTTGAATGGAGAGGTAAAAGTCATTTGTAATTACCAGTAGACCTTTTGCTGTAAATTATTAAAGTTCTAAATTCTTAAAAAAAAAAAAAAAAAACAGGAAATTTTCTTCACTAACTTAAAAGCTTTTTATTTGGTATTTTCTCATAATTGCTTAAGAAAACTTTTCATCATAACAAGTACAAAGATAAAATTCATCCTGGCTAAACATGGTTTGTAGCACTTTTTTTTTTTTTTTTTTTTGAGACAGAGTCTTGCTCTGTCGCCCAGGCTGGAGTGCAGTGACACAATCTTGGCTTATTGCAACCTCTGCCTTCCAGGTTCAAGCGATTCTTCTGTCTCAGCTTCCCATGTAGCTGGGATTACAGGCGTGTGTCACCACATCCAGCTAATTTTGTATTTTTCAGTAGAGACAGGATTTCACTATGTTAGCCAGGCTAGTCTGGAACTTTTGGCCTCAAGTTATCAGCCTGCCTCCACCTCCCAAAGTGCTGGGATTACAGGCATAAGCCACCATGCCTGGCCATGTAGTATTTTTAATTGCTAAAGTATATTAATGTTAATTTAATGTAGGAAAGAACAAGTCATAGGTAAATATGATATTTTAAATAAATGATTTGTTTTTTGTACTCAAAGTGTGACCCTTCCAAGTGTATCACCCAGAGTAAGAATCTGCAGCAGTTATTCAGTTATCTTCTTTCATTTAAAATACCTATTTCCATATTAATATTTTATTGCATTGATTGTGACAGTTTAATGCTATACTGTACAGATGTCATCTCAGAAAGTGTAAACACTGAATGAATTAAATGCAGAAGAAGGCCTCATTCTGTCCAAATTGAAGCATATCACAAGTTACTACTATATTTATGACAGATTTTCACCTCATACCAAACACTTTATTTTTAGAAGTTCAAGAAAACACAGCCATTCTCCACTTTGAGAACATTTTCCGACTTATCACTGACATAAGTGTAAATCTGATATTTTTCCCTTTTTGTAAAGCAAAAATAGAAATCCATGCATACCTGCTTACTTATAATTGACATCCCCCATCTCCACCCAATAAAGGCAGGCTGGAAAAGAATATAAGACTTCTAAAACCTGCGGGATTTTGTTTTGTTTCTTTTCTACTACCATATTATGTATCAAGATAGTTTAACACTCATGTTAGAAGGCAGTGTCCCAGTAGTCCCATAAAGTCTGAGACTTTTATATTTAAGAGGGTAATAGTAGCTCCCTTGCTACTATAAAGTGATGTTCATACGAAGAGTATTGTCGCAGACCTGTACAGCAGATTATTTACTTTTAATCACCTCCAAAGAAACGTTAATTAGTGTTTTCAAATTACCAAGACTACCACAGAAGTGTACCGAGGTTTTCGGAGCTACCTTAATGGCTTCTATGCAGGAAAGAAAGAGGTTTCCCTCCCTTCTTCCTTCTCTCATCTTAATTTTAATCATATTTATTCTGCTTTTTTTCCTTGTTTGTATATAATGCTAGGTGATGTTAAAACATTATTTATGACACTTGTTAGAGAATGGTAAGGCAGATTATACCTAGAAAGACTATCATAGTAGGTATGGTTACTACCACAATAGGATTTTGCAGTAAAGGAGAGAGATTGAACTCCATTCTGATTACAAAAATAAAAAAAAATAAAAAAAAGTGGGCATTTGTATCCAAAGGACAGGGTAGGTGTCTGCGGATAAAACAATTACTAAAATTTGAATCAATTTGAAACATCAGATATAAGGGGAGATTCTGGTTAAACCAACATAACAAGACCATTGCTGAGGGCAAGCCAGGTAGTCAGACATCACCTGGGGGATGGTGGAGGATGAAGAACCCTATTAGATAACAAGGGTGATCATATATGAAGGGTAAATGCCAATGGATATATTAGCTGGAAGATTATTTACCACTTGCTTAGGAAAATTAGCTGCGGGGATGCCCACCTGCTTGGAGCTGCGGCCGAAGTCCCGCACCACTTGGCCCGGGCAGAATTAAGGCAGATGTTCCATAACGCTGTCTGCTTGGGGTATGGGCTGCGGCCCGGTCCGCGTGTTTTGCGGAGCCGCAGTTGACGTGGTGCCTGGACCCCCGACCAGCCGCGAGGCAGGAGCGTGGGCTCTGCCTACCGTGGGGGCGCACCAGGGGTCGGACGAACTCAAGAATAGTTTCTGTTGGAATAACTATTTTAGTCAAGAAATCGAGTAACACAATATAAAAGCAAGCTGTTTGATCTGGGTTGGGGTTCCATAAGGAAAAACAGAGGTTTCTCCCCAGAAGGGAGCCTGATGCCTTCTCTGTTTACTTTAAGGAATCCCAGGCTCTTACAAACTATTTTAGGTCCCTCATGAAGCAAAGGAAAAAAATAGCAAGAGAAAGGTGAGACAGCAGAATTAAATGAAGAAAACAGAATTTAGTCAGCTGAGAAGAAAAAGAAAAACTTTTGCTCAAAGAAGAAAAGATCATAGGCGAGAAAAAAACATAAAAGCTTCATAAATACGAACACACACATGCACACACACACATCTTTGATGCTAGCTTTTAATTAAGCTGACTTTTAAACATTGAGCTTCTTTAAAAAAGTCTTTTAAAATCTCATTACCATATTTTAGCTAGGACAAACTGCTGATATTTCAAAAGTAACAAGTATCAAACCAGAAAGGACTTGATTTAGGAACCAAACCCAGGCTGTCACGGGAAAAAAGAAGGCAGAACCTTAGCTACAACAGAATTGCAGCATGGGGCAACAGCCATTGCTCTTTCAGTTTGGCTTGGCTAGCAAAAAGGTGGCCTTGTTATGTAAATAAAGCCACTTAAGTAGTCTAATTAAAAATCTTTCCTTTTTGCTTTTTTTCTTTTGGCTGGCCTTTTTTTCTGCTCCCCGCCACCACCTTTTTGTGCAGGAATTTAGCCACTTCAGATGCCTTGTTTCCCATAAATTTGAACTTTATATTGGATTTGATTACGTCAGATAGAGTTGGTCAAACCAATGCAAAAAACTGAAACAACAAGAAAAACAGAAACGACAAAAAACTGAAACAACAAGAAAAACAGAAACAAACTACAACAATAACAAAAAAAATTTTAAGCAAAACAAATGATGCACAAATTATACAATTACCGAATGCTCTAATGGTAAAGAGGAATTAAGACCAGCTGGTTGTTAATCTTAACTTTTGCTAAGATAAAAACCCCAATTCAGCTATTTACGTAGGGAGGAGTCTCAGGCTGAAGACTGCTATCTACTATCCTAGAAGCAGGAGAAAACTCAAACTTGCCTTCTCCGTTGGAAGTGAGCTCAAACTCCAGAAAGGCGTTACCTGCCTTGCATTGTCATGAAAGCAGAAAAACTTGCCTTCCTCGTTGGAAGCACGTAAATCTCCAGAAAAGGCATTGTACAGAAAAATAAACTTTAGATCTCAACCAAATTTTGGGAGATCAGGGATTTTCTGGAGGGAGGGGAGCTCCCAGGCCTCAGCAAATTGTTTTATTAGTTTGAGCCATAAAAGTATTTCAAGCTAGTACCAAGCACCCATAGGAGATTTGTCAAAAGTCAAGGACACCTCCATTCAGAATCCCTTTGTGGTCACCAAATTGTTAACACAAAATATCTGAGACAGCTGTCAGTCAATTTAGAAAGTTTATTTTGCTAAGGTTAAGGACACACCTGTGACACAGCCTCAGGAGGTCCTGATGACACGTGCCCAAGGTGCTCAGGGCACATTTTCATTTTATACATTTTAGGGAGACATGAGACATTAATAAATATATGTAAATTGTACATTGGTTCAATCTGGAAAGGCAGGACAACTCAAAGAGGGGAGGGAGCTTCCAGGTCATAGATAAATAAGAGACGATGAATAAAGGAGGGAAGGGGTTTTTATGTCTAATGCAGGGTCCCTACCTCTGTGTCACTCCCCCATGGGCTGGGGTTGGACTGCACAATCTAAACTGACCCGACTGGCTACTTGTGAATATTTTCCCAAATCAGGAAGGGAAGGGGGATGTGTGAGTGAGTTACAATGGTAGGACTTGTGGTTTCGAAGGGTAGAATAGGTGCAGAGCGGGTAACTAAGGGAACAGATGTGAGTTATAGATTAAAACTGATGGGAAGGTTGTTTAGAGTAACTAGAGGCAAGGAGGCATGGAGAACAAGAAAGTTGAGTTTGAGAACAAAGAACAAGGAAGTTAACAGGCTGAACCTTTGAAGAGAAATTCAAAGAAATTCATTGTATCTTACAAGTTTTTAAAGAAGAGTGTAGTTTAGACACAAAAATGTCTTTGTTAAAAAACAAACAAACAAAAAAACTAAAGTGCACTGTAAAAGCATCACATGGTCTAGCCTCATAATAATTCTTCCTTTTTGGAGACCCAGGATTCAGTGTGGGCTCTGCTCAGAACTCAGAAATCCAGTTAAAAGGTAGGTAGACTCTGTCTAAATAAAATTGATCTCCTTTTATAATCCTATGATAGATTTCTACAAATTTATGTTGGATTTGACATCTATCTTTAATCTCCCTCCAGCATCACCAGACTTTCTCTCTGTATTTTGAGATGTAAATTTCACTATGCTATTTTTTAACCTAAGAGTCCTTTAATATGTAAATGAAGGGCCTTCTAGCTGACAATTGCCTGGGGTAATAAAATAGGAAATTGGAAGTCTAAAATAGGAAGAAAAAATAGAGGCCTTATGAATATATAAGATTTACTTCTATCTATGTATCTAATACATCTATGCATTTATGTATCATGTATATGATGTTTCACTACTAAAAATGTATAAAATAGCTCTAATTAATTGGCTAAAATGCTTAAATCAAATACATTACCAGAAAAATAGAGACTTTAAGCCAAGTGCTTTTTAACGTTCCTGTGATTTAAGTAAATATTTAATAAATAAGCTATTTTTTAAAATATTGGTGAAATAGGATAAAAAATGCCTTGAGAATTGTTAACATACATTGTCTCTGCTAGATGTCAAAATTTGGCATGAGTGTTATAAAGCTATGAATGCAGCTTAAAAGAGAGTTATCTTCGTTTATGTAAAATTTAATAAATAAAACATTTAATATTGTTCAGTTAATGAAAACGACAAAATTCTGACTTATTGGAAAAAAAATAACTTATCTAATCTTAAAATTTTTGCTTAGGAAAACCTGAAATTCACAGGTTATAAAAGTGGTTAACAAGGAAACAACTTTAAATAATAACTATCACAGTTTTCATAAGTAATCTGGTTAAACTATTAAAAAAAATTAGGTAAATGTAATGGAATGTTTAAAAGTAATCTTGTCATATAATATAAAATCTAATGTTATATTAAGCAAAATAATAGCTATTCATTAAATGTCTAGGTCATTTCCAATTTTCTTTAAATAATAGGAAAATATTTTTTAAAAAAGAACTGGGATTTTACTTAAAACTAATTTTTGTCTAATTCAAAGGTTATTTTAAAGTTTTTTATAAAATTAGGTAAAGGCAATCAGTGAATAAAATCAACGTAAAAAATGTTATAAAGAGGTATTTTTGGCAAGAAAGATTAAAAGGAAAATAATTTTATATGAGAATGAATCTTGTATGATAAATTTTTGTCTTAAAATAAAATAAATGGTTATTTAAGACAGAGGGTGCCCATTACTGGGTATATACCCAAAGGATTATAAATCATGCTGCTATAAAGACACATGCACACATATGTTTATTGCAGCACTATTCACAGTAGCAAAGATTTGGAACCAACCCAAATGTCCAACAATGATAGACTGGATTAAGAAAATGTGCACATATACACCATGGAATACTATGCAGCCAGAAAAAATGATGAGTTCATGTCCTTTGTAGGGACATGGATGAAGCTGGAAACATCATTCTCAGCAAACTATCACAAGGACAAAAAACCAAACACCGCATGTTCTCACTCATAGGTGGGAATTGAACAATGAGAACACATGGACACAGGAAGGGGAACATCACACACCGGGGACTGTTGTGGGGTGGGGGGGGTGGGAGGTATAGCATTAGGAGATATATCTAATGCTAAATGACGAGTTAATGGGTGCAGCACACCAACATGGCACATGTATACATATGTAACAAACCCGCACGTTGTGCACATGTACCCTAAAACTTAAAGTATAATAATAAAAAAAAGAAAAGACAGAGGGTGCCTAGGTTAAAAGAGAAACCCAAGCCTGTCATAAAATATTTCATATCAAGTTGTCTATAATTAAAGGGAAATAATTTATAATAGTCTCTCTAGAGATTGGGTTATTGATGTAAAAACGCTTATGCACTAAAGAATTGGTTAGAACAATGACATTTTCTTAAGGGATTGATTTACTCTTAATAAACTATAAGATATTTTAACTTTTTAACCCAAAAACATAATTGTCTCACCATTTTCAGTTTTCTTTCCCACTTCAAAAGGCCTAAAATAATGACTCTCTCCCTCAACTAATTCTCAAGCTTATGCAAGTTCCCCCCACGACCCCCCACCCTCAGTTGCTGTTTGTTGTGGCCTAATGCTAAGAATGTTTTTCTTGAAGGTCTAAATGAAATGTTTTCTTCCAATACAGTATTCTGTGCACCGCAGAAGTTATTTTCTTTTGCCTTTTGGCAACTGGCTGAAAAAACAGATTTTACATTTTATTGAAATAATTCTTATGTCATTGTTATTAAGCTTTAGTTTGCTTAGAAAAAACTGAGAATAATTTTTTTGTAAGCTAAGGTTATTACATCCATGTAACTTTCTGTATGTGCCTTTAAAGTCCTTGTGCCATTGAGTTACAGGGCTTTGACTCTTGGACCTAAAAAGGACACTGAGTCCTGCTAAAATCTTAAACACTGACAGCAGTTAAAGTCTCATCTTCAGACCTGGTAGAAGATGCCATTCACAATAAACTGTGTTTGTGAGACACAGAGCCAAACATTAAAACTGTTCGACTTGGCCGGGAATGGTGGCTCACTCCTGTAATCCCAGCACTTTGGAAGGCCGAGGTGGGTGGATCACCTGAGGTCAGGAGTTTGAGACCAGCCTGGCCAACATGGTGAAACCCCGGCTCTACTAAAAATACAAAAATTAGCTGGGCATCGTGAAGGGTGCCTTTAATCCCAGCTACTTGGGAGGCTGAGGCAGGAGAATTGCTTGAACCTGGGAGGTGGAGGTTGCAGTGAGCTGAGATCGCGCCATTGCACTCCAGCCTGGGCGAAAAGAACAAAACTCTGTCTCAAAAAAAAAAAAAAAAAAAGAAAGAAAAAGAAAAAGAAAAAACTGTTCAACTCCTCAGAGCCCAAGGACTATCATGGAAGAGGTGGGCATGTAAGATTGTAAGGGCTGGCTTTAAGAGATAAAATTAGTTCAGTTTCTCTAGAAATTAACTATTAATATCAAAGGCACACTGATGCAAAACCAGCATCTGGGCCTCGGTGACCGATTAACAAGGTTTTATTGGAGCATTAACCCACTCCTTAATACAAAATTATAAAGATTACAAGAAGGTTAATAGAAATTATATTGTATGGTCAAGATGATTAAATTGTATAGGTTGTTTACAAGATGTTGAGAGACACATTTAATTGACCTTACACTGTCTTTATTAAGGATTATTGTTTGGAAAATTGTCTCCTCTCTCAAATAATAAAGGTTTCCACCTTTTTTGAAATCTGTGGGTTATTACTTTGGCTAAATGAATGACCTGTTTTACAATGACCTGTGATTCTATTCTGGCAATATAAAGTGTTTTAAACTTTTTATGTTCAGCAAGCTTTCCAAAATTAAGTTCTAACTTCAGTCCTCATTAATTTTTGGATTTTGGTTTCCTGAAGTCCAAAAGAGACATATTTGGCTTATTATCATACAAGAAGTATTGTCAAATATGAAACAGTGTTTAATCTTCTTGGGATTATATTTATATAAATGTATTATTAGTGTGTGTTCCAGAATTGTATGAAATTCCTGTGATTCTAATATGTCTTAACGTATGTTATCAGTAGTAATTATGATTATTATGTAAAATCGGTGTATGCCATAGAAGTAAACAAATTTCCTTGTCAATTGTGTCTTTAGCTATGCCTGTTCTAAAACTTGTCATATACAGTTCTTTTTACTTTTATCCTTTTCCAAAGATGTTTTTATAATCAGCTATAGGATTCTGACAGATGCTGTCAAATGCAGGTTTCTGATAACTATGGAGATTGTTACACTAGAATACAGAGAAAACTTCCAAGACTCCCAAGGAGAGTTAAAGATGAGTATCAAGCAGAACAGGAGTTAACTGCATGGACTAAACTTATAGAAGACTGACATAATCCTTTTATGAATTTTTGCTTTAAATATTGCTAATCCTTTGTTTTTGAGAGCCGAGAAAACTGTTCTTTTGAGCTATTTGCAGCTTTTAAGAATTGGGTAAACTATACTCAGATAAACAAAATATGGAACATATTTCTCTCTACCTGATTTATACAAAATTTGAGAAGTAGTTGTGAGTATTCTTTACTTATGGCAATGTAGTTATTTACATAAGTGCATTAAGAATCTGTTTTCTTTTGTAACAGGACACAATTGGAAACACTGGTTATTTTACCAGTGTCTTGACTTGAATGGGGTACTTTCAGATACAGACTCCTTTAAGGAATTAAAGTTAACTTATACAGCCAATAAAAGCCCCTGGGGAAAACTGGCATAATACCTTGTCTAGGCAGCCCTGTACAGACTCCTGACCTATGGTAAGTAAAGAATGTCACTTTCTAACAAGCCCAAGAGCCCCAAGTTTTCCTGCACCCTAAAAGTGAGGAATTCACTCAGCTAATACAGGTATTTGTAGGCACAGAATGGGCTTAAGGCATTAAAGTCAAATCTGAGATCCTTTATGGAATTAAGTTGCAACAAAGCCAAAAAAAAAAAAAAAAAAAGAAGAAGGAGCCTGTATGGCAAATAATTATTTTTTCTCACTTTATGAAAATACTCAGGCCAAGTATCATAAGACTAAAACTTATCTTCCAAATGAATTTGTACTATAATTAGTCTTTACTGAAAATGGGGACTGGAGAGAGAAAAATTGTGTTTCAAAATCAACTATAGTACACCTGTTATTAGCTTCTCGTCTTGCATAAGGCTTTTCAATTTTTATTATTTTCTACAGTTTGGACTAAATTCTGAAACTTTTTGTGGTTACAAGTCCCCAGTATAATGTTTTCCATTTCTTTTCCTTCTTTCTTTTACTTTTAAATTTTTTTTCTGATTTTAAATCACTGAAAACTAAGCTGAGCTTTCTTAAAGCCTTGCAAACTGAAGTTAGGCAAATTAAACTTCAGAAGAAAATAAAAGCAACTTGTTTACATACGTAAGCCACTCTCATACCTGCCTACTGATATATGAACTTCAGAGTTATATGGCCTACATTGATTTTCCAGAATTTTTATATTTTCATTTGTTGTTGTTTTTCACCTTCCTCCCACTATTTGCTCTTCACAGGATGTGAGACTTCACAACCTTCTAAAAATGAGTTTTCCTAACAACATGGGACCTACCCTTCTAGGAATAAACCATCCTAGCCATGAGAAATCAGATGAAAACTGGGACCAGAGACTCTTTTTCTTCTAAAATGCTTTTTCTGAAAGATTTTAAAAAGAAAAGAAGGGAAATGTGAAAGGAAAATAAAATTTTAGACCCCAACACCACTAAGCTAAAGGGAAAAGTCAAGCTGGGAGCTGCTTAGGGCAAATCTGCCTCCCATTCTATTAAAAGTCATTCCTCTGCTTACTGAGATAAATGCACATCTGATTGCTTCCTTTGGAGAGGCCAATCAGCAACTCAAAAGAATGTAACCATTTGTCTCTTATCTACCTATGACCTGGAAGACCCCTCCCCACTTTGAGTTGTCCCACCTTTCCAGATGAATCCAATGTACATCTTAAATATATTAATTGATGTCTCATGTCTCCCTAAAATGTATAAAATGAAGCTGTGCCCAGACCACCTTGGGCACATATCATCAGGGCCCCCTGAGGCTCTGTCACAGGTGCATTCTTATCCTTGGCAAAATAAACTTTTTAAATTGACTGAGTCCTGTCTTAGATATTTTGGGTTAACAGACAAAATAACCAACTTTGCTTCCATTCTTAAACAATACTAAGTTTTGCAGATACAAAACATTTGTAATAGTCAAGTGTTTTTATAAATACTAATATATTATTTAAAGACCTATAAGCATCTTATATATTTTAAAAAATGATAGTAATTACTGAGAAAAAGAAAATAAAATTACAAAATTGCAGATAATAGATCAATAAAGAAACTTTTCAAACCACGATAATGTAGTTCAACCTTCTTATTTTTAATATGAGAAACCAAAACACAGGGAGATTGACTATTACAGGTTTACAAGGTTTTCTAGCTCCCAGTTTAGTGCTCTTTCTTTTCTGTTAGCTTGCCTTCAAATTCTAAACGTTTAGATGTTTTTAAACTATACATATTCTGAGTTATTCAATTCAGAAATAACAGACACAATTTCTTTAAAATAACTCCAACATTTGAAATCTACATATTATAAGAGACCAGAATATGCCATTCCAAAATGTGACTGTAGAAGACTGGAATATATCACATCAAAATATGTCTCTTTAGCATAGGATTATGTGCTGATTATTTTGAGAAAGATAAAAGATAGGAATAGCTCTGTAAACAAAGTACAAGCCACGTTTTGTAATGTAAATTTACATTTATAAAGGAAATCTCCATTTGTAGGTGTGTATTTCTCTCTGTATTAGAAAAAGAAGGATGACTCTAAATCACAATGGAATCTTATCATTTGAAAAGGCACAAATTTAAATCTGCAATACCAACCTTGTTTACTGTGCTTTTTCTGGTCACATTTCCATAAATAATCTCCCTCACAGTCTTCTTTCTTTGCTTTTACCTGAAAATGACATTTAAACCTGAATTCTATGCCACATCTTTGGGAGTTTCTCTTTTGCTGAGTTTTCTCACATTTATATATGAGATATATGTGGAGTCCTAATTAGGGAAAAGGAGTCAGGCTGACAAGACCAGGGGGAAACAAACAGAGCAAATAAGCTTTAAGTATGCTTTCTTTCATGGTCCAGGGCATCCAAACAAATAGAGGAAGCAGATAAACTGTAGATCTGCTGTGTGTGTGTGTGTGTGTTTTTTTTTTTTTTTTTTTTAGTGGTCCAGGATACATTTGGCCTTCCTGACCAGACAACATACACAACTCACAAACTTCCTGCATACCATCAAACACGTCAGTTCAAACACCTCCACTAACAGAAGAATGCAAGTTAACCCCCCTGCTAACTTTGCATTATCAATCAGCCCAAATCCCATTGTATAAAATCTTCAGCAAGCCTTCGTTTATTTGCTGTCGGCTTCTCTCATGCAGACTGCCCATTGTCTCTCTGGCAATGTATTTTACTACTTTCTTTTTAAAAAAATCTGCCTTCCTTTACCTACAACTGTCTTGGTAAATTTTTTTACCCCTGTGCCACTGGCCATCGTTCACCCACAACATTTGGTGACCTGTATAGGAACCTATCTCTATGTGGGGCTCCCTCTGCTCCATATGGGGGAACACTCTCTCTTCTCATGGGGAAATCTTTTCCCTGTATCTTTCCTTTTCCCAACTTGAGACCCTTGGCTGACAGTATCTAAGCGTAACCTCCCAGCGGGTTCACCTTCTCCACTGCCTAGAGTAAGCGGATTTATCAAGACAGGGGAATTGCAATAAAGAAAGAGTAATTCACACAGAGTTGGCTGTACAGGAGATTGGAATTTTATTCTTACTGAACTCAGTCTCCCTGAACATTTGGAGATTGGAGTTTTTAAGGATAATTTGGCAAGTAGGGGCTCAGGAAGTGGGGAGTGCTGATTTGTTGGTCGGGTTGGGAATGGAATTATAGGGGGTTGAAGTGAGTTTTTCTCCATGTCTTCTGTTCCTGCGTGGGATCACAGAACTGGTTGAGCCAGATTACTGGTCTGGGCTGTGTCAGCTGATACATCAGAATGCAGGGTCTGCAAAATATCTCAAGCATGGATCCTACATATTACAACAGTGATGTTATTTCCAGGAGCAATTTGGGGAAGTTTAGAGTCTTGCAGGTTCCAGCTCCATGACTCTTAAACCATAATTTCTAAGCTTCTAGCTAATTTGTTAGTCCTGCAAAGGCAGTCTAGTCCCCAGACAGGATTTTGTTTTGGAAAAGGGCTGTTATCATCTTTGTTTCAAAGATAAACCATAAACTAAGTTCCTCCCAGAGTTAGTTCAGCCTACGCCCAGGACTAAACACAGACAGCTTGGAGGTTAGAAGCAAGATGGAGTCAGTTAGCTCAGATCTCTTTCACTGTAATAATTGTCTCACTTATAATTTTTGCAAAGGTGGTTTCATAAGCACAGAGGCAATTGTGAGTCTCTGGCATAAAGTTAGGGGTTAAGATGTTAGAGACTGTTAGAGACAGGATACACTCCAGTGGGACTGAAATGTGTCCATGTGGAAATGCCTGGCCACCACCACCACCCAGTTTGGGTGAGGAACCTGAGTCCTTTTTCTTTCTTCAGTATTTCAGTGGCCGTTTCCTAGTAGCTCTTTGGTAACTGAGGGTAACTGGCCCAACTGGCTGGGGCCACTCTCAGGTGTTGCCTGAAGGCCAAAGAGTGGACAGAGATAGCTGCCCTGTCGGAAGGGGGAGAAATTCTCTCCTGTCTTTTCTTGTTATTGTCCATGATTCCTACATGTAATGCAATTAGCGGTGGAAGCTTGTTCAGGGCAAATTCACACACACTTCAGGTGACTTAAACCTTCACTTTCTCATTCTAAATTCTCCTATAGAGTCAGCTAGCGATCTGTTTCGGACATTGCCGAATTAGATGATCTCGAACAGCCTCAGAATGTTGAGTTTCCTCCTCACCCCTCTCATGGGCTGGCACAGGGCACAAATATTTCTTTGCCCTTTTTTCCACATACCTGGACTGATCACTCAGTGTAAGTGCGTTCCTGGGCTGGCCACCCAGCGTAAAGCCCACAAATGGCCAGGTAGTCTTTTCTAATAGGTGGGATGGCCCTTTAGAAAGTGCACCCTAAGTTTCCTAGCAGACAGATATGAAACCCTTTTTATCTTAGCAGACACCCTGAAAATGCAGTTCATTAGCTACTAGCGGTGCATTTTCCAGTCCCAACATGGGGCAAGCCCCATTCAATCCTTCAGACTCACCTCTAGGCTATATTTTAAAGAATTGAAGCAAATTTGACTCCCAAACCCTCACAAGGAAACATCTGATTTTTCTTTGCAAGATGGCTTGCCTTCTCTGCCACAAGCTCAACCAGAGGAAATGGAACTACCCTGAAAGTTAAAGGGCCCACGGGACAAAACCCCAATCCCTAATGGCCTTAAGCTAAAGGAGCACTTTACTCTGGTTAAAACAGCTCACCTTAACTGGTAAATCACCTTAACTGGTAAATTTACTGGTGTAAAATTTACACCATGTAAATCTAGAATGCTAAGGCTCTCCCTAACAGGAGATAAACAAAAGTAGCAAAGATGCTAACCCTGCACTCTGCAGTGGCTGAAAGGCTCACCAGTCTGCCAGTAAAAGTTAACCCTTTCTTCTCCTCTCCTTTCTTTTATTTTTTCTCATTTTCTGTTCAATCTAAAAATCCAGATGTAAAAGGGGAAAACAAAACAAAACAAACAAACAAACAAAAAAACAGTCTCTAACATCCTAACCCCTAATTTTATCATTCTGTTTAAAACTCAAGCTAGTTACATATTATGGCCTGTTTTGTGCACATTTTAAACCAATTGTCAAATTACAACAAGAAAAATTTGAAGTTCAAATGGTTAACTTACACTATAAAGTTAAGTATAGTTTTCTAAAGCTTTCTATCTTCCTCTTTAAAAAAAAAAAAAAATTTCCCAGCTGGCCGGGCACCATGGCTCACGCCTGTAATCCTAGCACTTTGGGAGGCCGAGGCGGGTGGATCACCAGAGGTTAGGAGTTTGAGACCAGCCTGGCCAACATGGTGAAACCCCGTCTCTACCAAAAATACAAAAATTAGCTGGGTGTGGTGGTGGACACCTGTAATCCCAGCTACTCAGGAGGCTGAGGCAGGAGAATCACTTGAACCCTGGAGGCGGAGGTTGCAGTGAGCCGAGATTGTACCATTGCACTCCAGCCTGGGGGACAAGAGTGAGACTTCATCTCAAAAAAAAAAAAAAAAAAACCTCTCCTTGCTTTAAATCTGCGTTTACTAAGTTACTGCTGCTGAAATGAGACTCATCATTTATGGCGTAACTAAAGTGTAAACATTAAAAATCCATTTAAAGTTAAAGAGTAAAATAGGTTTTGTTAAACCAAGTTGCCAAAAAGACTACTTTACCCAAATTTTGCTTTGCAGCTTTCCTTGGATTGCAAAGTTTTAGCCATGTGAACAGGTTCCCATTTTATCTGAAAAAAAACTTAAGTTTTATAGGTTGGTAAGTTTATAATGCTGTCTCATGGATAAAGTTCTGAGGTAAAAGCTATTGAATCCTTGTGTATGTATGTATATATGTTTAAATATGTCTATGTAATATACATGTAATATTCTGTATTTTTTTTATTTAGCATGCTACCAAATTGGAATATAAGTAAATGAGTACTCAAATGCTTTTCAAGTTCACATGAACCTTTACCAAATAAGCCAGCTTTAAAATTATTGGTAAAATTATTTCAAAAATGTTTTAAAATCTGTCAATATATATTTTTGTTTAGGTTTACTGACCTCAAAAAATATCTCAGCCATTGGAATTCTGTCTTAATTCTCTGTATCTGTCTATTATTTGTATTGTATGTGTGATGTTTTTATAAATGAACTCTAATTAATTGGCTTAAATGAAAAGTAAGCACTCGAATCAAACATTTTCAAGAAAAAGAAATAAAAACTTTAATGCATTTAGGTCACAGGACTATAATCTTTAAAAAACTAAAAACAGTTAAAAAGATCACTGGTAAAAAAAAAATGTCTTACAAGTTTATACATTTGGTCTAAACTAGGCACCCATTTACCATACTGTTTGGTAAATGTTTTAAGGCCATAAACTGCTTCTATAACTTTCAGTAATTGCTTAACTTGTCTGTTTTACAGCCACTAAATTCAAGGTAAGGCCTGAGAGCATACAGTGTTAGCCAGGTCCCCTGGCTAGGCCGGAGAAAGTTATGGTCTCTGCAATCTTATACATCTTTAAAATTGCTTGCTTACTAGGTTTTTTATCAAAAATAAAAGTTGCTAAGAGTTAACACTGTAATGTGCTTAAGACTATTGGAGAAACAGTTTTACATGCAAGGTATAGTATTAGTCCATTTTCACATGGCTGTAAAGACATACCCGAGACTAGGTAATTTATAAACAAAAGCAGTTTAATTGACTCACAGTTCCACATAGCTGGGGAGGCCTCAGGAAACTTATAATCATGGCGGAAGGGGAAGAGGCACATCTTACATGGTAGCAGGCAAAAGAGAGCATGTGAGAGAGATGGAAAAACTACCATTTATGAAACTGTCAGGTCTCATGAGAATTCACTCACTATCAGAAGAACAGCATGGGAGGAACTGCCCCTATGATTCAATCACTTCCCTCCCTCAACACATGGGATTACAATTCAAGATGAGATTTAGGTGGGGACACAAAGCCTAACCATATCAGGTATAAAAGAGAACTTAAATGTGTTTCCTGGTAAAAGGGTTAATCTTGTAAAAAGTTCTCTGGTTGGCTAAAATGAAAAAGGAATTATTTAGGTTTTCAAGTATTAAATACTCTAAAGTCCAGAAAATAACATATTTAGCTTATTTGGCATATTAAAATCACACAGGATGTACTGTCAAATATAAAGTGGTGTTTAGCATTCTTTAAACTGCATTTATATTATGGGCTATTGGTGTGTGTTCCAAAATTGTATAAAATTCCTGTAATATTTCTCAGTATATGTTATCAGTAATAATTATAATTATTTTGTTAAATTAGTGTCACAAAAATAACCAAATATTAACTGTGGCTGTTCTGAAACTTTTGTCACTCACAATTGTTGTAAGACTTCTAAATTGTTTTAAAACTTTTGTCACTCCCAATTGTTTTACCTTAATTATATTCAGGTTGGTTTTATAATCAGCTATAGAACTACAACAGGTGCTCTTAAATGGGTTTCTAACAACTTTAAAGATTGTAACATCAAATTGAAAAGAAAAACACAAAAAAAAACTACTAATGTGTTCATAAATATTAGAGCTAATGTGTTCGTAAATATTAGGCAAAGTAGGAGTTAATTATATTTTATAAAGTTAACTAATGAAAAACCCAAATAATTTTTATGGCTTTTTGTGTAAAATATTATTAATTTGTTTGTTTTCAGAGTCCAGAAAGACTTTATTCTTCTAACCTATTTATGAAACCCATTTTGCAATAATTATAACTGAGGAAATTATGACAGTGAAAGGGATTAGACCTAACCAACTCCATCTTGCTTCTAACCTTTAAGCTGTCTTTGTTCATTCCTAAGCATAGGCCAAACTAACCATGGGAAAGAATTTAGTTAATAGTTTAACTCTGAAATCAAATTGATAATAGCCCTTTCCCGAAAACAAAAACAAAACAAAACAAAACAAAACAAAACCTTCTTGCCTTGGGACCAGTATGCATTTGTAGGACTAACAAATTAGCTACAAGATTAGAAATTACAGTTTAGGGGCCACACAGCTCTGGCTGCAAGCATCTGTATCTCCCCAAATTGCTCCTGAGAATAACACCACTGTTGTGAAGCATATGATCAGCGCATGAGATATTTTGCACACCCTGCATTCTGATACCCCAGTTGACACCCCACAGAACAGTAATCTAGTTCAATCAGTTCTGCGATCCCACCCAGTAATAGAAGACAGCAAGAAAACCTCACTTTGACTTCCTGTGATTCCATCTCCAACCCAACCATTCAGAGCTCCCCACTTCCTGAACCCCTACCTGCAAAATTATCCTTAAAAATTCTGATCCCTGAATGCTCTGGGAGACCTAATTTCTCCAGAATTTAAAAACTATTTGCAAGTATACTTAATTTATGGCAGTATAGTTATGTGCAGAAGTTCATTAAGAATCTCCTTTCTTTTGTAACAGGACACAATTGGAAACACTGGTTATTTTACCAAAGCCTTAACTGGAATGGTATACTTACAAACTGCTTTAAGGGATCAAGTTAACTTATAAAGCCAATAAAATCCCCTTGGCTCCTTCAGGCAGACTGCCCATTGTCTCTCCAGCAACATATTTCCCTACTTTCTTTAATAATTGTCTTCCTTTACCTACAACTGTCCTGGTAAATTATTTTACCCAGTGCCACTACAATATACATATCAATAAACTTGTGTTTTTGTCTTGTTAATATTAATAAGTATTTTGTTACGGGGGTACTGTTGAAAACTTAGAAAGATAGAAGAAAAATTATTTTTTCTTCCCCTACAATGTCCCTCTGTGTATAAAATGCAAACCTGGCAGGTGTATGTGTGTGTGATGCTCTCGAATGTATGTGTGTTTTACTCTTGCTTGTATAAAAACTACCCAAAATGTATTTCCTTAAAATATGAGATTAAACAAAATGGATCAATAGTGAGAAACTATCATTTTGAGTTTAGTTGGTGAAATCAACCACACCACTCCAAGCAAATCATTTACATGGTCAAAGTGGATGGAATCTATGTTTAGGAATGATTTCAGAAATCTTCTATTAAGACAAGAAACAAGAAACAGGATTCCTTTGATATTCCTGATCTGACATTCTCTTAAACAGCAGCACTTTTAATTTATGCCCTGAGACTCTCAATCAGCATTGAAATTACCATACTGCATAGCAATAACTTTAGTTCAAAAATAGTCATTGTTTACCAGATATTCTTGATCTGACCAGAGTCACCTTCTCATCTCCAGTGTTAGGAACAAGTCAATAATTGAAAAACTGCCTACACATGATGTCATAAATAGGGTCATATAAATAGTAGAAAAGAAATGGCCACTTTTATTCCCAAGGAGGAATGACTATTTCTGTCAATAATAGATTCTATATTTTCTAACTGGCTCCAAACAACCATTGTAGCTCTAAGTTTGCTCGTAGGCTATGTAAACCAAAAACGATTTGAGACAAGTCTCAATTAATTTAGAAGTTTATTTGCCAGGGTTAAGGACATGTCAGTGACACAGTCTCGGGAGGTACTGAGAATGTGTATCTGAGGTGGTTGGGCTACAGTTTGATTTTATATGTTTTAGGGAGATGTAAGACATCAATCAATACACGTAACATGTACCTTAGTTTGGTCTCAAAAGACAGGACAAGGCAAAGCGTGGGGTGGAAGGTGTTTCCAAGTCATAGGTGGATTTAAAGATTTGTTTTGATCAGCAATTCATTGAAAGAGTTTATCTAAAGACTTGGAATTAATAGAAGGGAGTGTCTTAGTTAAGATTAGGGTATGTGGAGACCAAGGTTTTTATTATACACATGAAACCTCCAGGTAGTAGGCTTCAGAGAGAATAGATTGTAAATGCTTTTTCTTAGACATTAAGAGGGCCAGATTCTTAGTTAATTTTCTCCTGGATTAGGAAAAAGACATGAAAAGGGAAAAGGATTCTCTACAGAATATAGATTTTGCCCACAAGGGACAGCTTTGCAGGGCCACTTAAAACATGTCAAAAACGTGTATTTTGGAATAAAACACTTTGATTTATTTTAGGGCCTGCTACCTGTTATGTTATTTTCTGGTTGCAAAGAATCTGTAAGACTGTTTTGTTAGTCTTAAGGCCTCTGTTTTAATGTTAAATGCTGTTCCGCTCTGTCTCAATTTCAAAAGGCGAAGAGTATGAGGCCCCCAACCCCCACTTCTCATCATAACTGATGACCAACCCCCACTTCTCATCATATCCTGAACTAGTTTTTTAGGTTAATTCAGGAATATTCTTGTCCAAAAGGAGGAGTCCATTCAATTGGTTGAGTTCTCAGAATTTTATTTTTGGTTTACAGCTATTATTGGTGTAGAACAACTAGAATATCTAAGAATGTAATTGTTTGCAATGTTACTAAAGCATGAGTAAAAGTGAACCTCTCACATTGTATAGTTGTTTAAATGACAAGAGCTATCAAAAAAAGTCACAGTGTTACACAGAAGAATCTTTTGGGAAACATGAAAAGCTTATTTCATTTTAAGGCTATGTTACTGATTAATCCTGAAACTATTTAGAAATTCAGACTTTTAATGTCAGCATTGTTTTCAGCATAATTGTTCAATCACTAAATACACATGAATTTTACTGTGTCTGTGTTGGTTTGAAAATTAGAGAGATGCTAGCTTTCATCTATCTTTTTTAATTGTAAATTTTGGAGTTGCAAGGATTCCATTTTGTATTTGGAATGTTATGCAAAAATTGGATTACTACGCGTTAAAGAAAATGGATTTAGAAATATAATAGCAGGTTGCTGGATAAGCTTTAGCCATTAGAAAATCTATTTTTAAAAAGGAAATAGAAGAACATTATTTTACACTATGACATAAAAATCCATAACTGCATTTGACTTGTACATCTGGGACAAGTTGTATAATTATATTGCTTTTTACTTGCAATTTTACTGTTTAAAATTTACAGGCTCCAACATTTAATTTGATTATTTTATTAATGTTGAGAAAAATTCTCAACACTATTAAAAACCTGGAAATAAAATGAGTCCTTAAAAAGCATTCCTTCATTTAAAAATGGTGGTTTCAAATTACTGCTCAAAATATAATTCAGCTACTATTTCTTAAATTAAAATATTTCAATATATAAGCAACATATTTAATTAGAGCTGTTTCATTTTGGTCTATAATTATGACGTTAAAACATTTTAGGACATTATAGCATTTCTTTGGAATTTGAATTCAAATATGTGTGCATTTATCACATAAAACAATTCACGAGATAAAGCTGTACTCTAAACCTAACTCTACATTCAGCTAAGGTTTTAGCTTAGTATCTTCTGTCATATGTACTCTCTATCTCAATTATAATGGCAGAATGTTATGTTAAATTTAAAACAATAGAAATGGAAAAGAAAACGTGTCAAACAGATTCTAGCATTATTGAAGGGTTGACTTTATGATGTTACTGAGAATTACTAAAAATCCCTAGGTCTGATTCCCAAAAAAGCCTGCCATGACATCCACCAAAATTCCAACTCTTGGATAGTCCTTTGGTTTAGATAATCAAATTTAAGTTAGTATGTTAATATTTTGATATCCTATTAAAATAAATTAGTTTATTTGATTGGCTGGCCAAAAATAGGCTGTGATAGGCCTTAAAGAGTACCTACATTTGGGGCCTAGAGCCTGCCAAGACTCAAAGGCTAGTAGGCATCTGTAGATAAGTGTCAATCCATATGAAAGAGTATCAATAGGAAATTAAGAGCCCACTCCCCTTCATTTCTCATATTAGTAGAGTTTTAATATCCTGCCTGATCAGAGTAAAGAATTACATTGCTAAATTCCTCCTGCTGTTGAGGTTTTAGACCATTTATTGCAATGGCGTCCTATTTGGTGCCCTGTCTTATCCTGCCTCAACCCTGCGACATACACCATTCCTAATCTTCAGGTTTGCTGAGGTGGATGAGGATGGTTGAGAGTAAAGAGCTTATGTTTCAAGATTGTTTTCAAAAAATTGACAAAACATTTTGTAACATTTACAATGAATTTAATAGCACCTTAATATATTGCCAACCATAGCATTTGCATGGTTTGAGGAAAAAGAATGTGTGTGCTTGTGCCCGTGTGTGTGTGTGTGTGTGTGTGTGTGTGACATTTATTAAGTCTATAAAGAATGTCTCTCTTACTTGCAAATCGGTGACTCTCTTACGAATCCACAGTGTGCAGACTGTGCTCCTCTGTGAATCCTCTGCTTTAGAGTATACTTGGCCAGTTTGGGAAATTAGGTTTACACATTTTGGGTATGTCTAGATAGGATGAAAACAAAGAAAAACAAAAAATTGTTAATCCAACAAAGCTATACATTGAAAATTGAGATAGGTATCTTAATCCAGTAACTGATTTATTTGAAAGAATCATCAGGACAGAATGACAAATTATTTCTAATATCTAGTTTTTGAGGAAGGTGAAACACAAATGCATACTCAAGTTCAATATGAATTACTATGACAATATGGCAACATGAACAAGTTTTCATCCTTAGAGAAATGTATATGTATATAATTTTATTGTATTATTATTTTTTTCTTTAGTAGAAATGAGATCTCGCTATGTTGCCCAGGCTGGTCTTGAACTCTTGAGCAAAAGCAATCCTCTTGCCTTGGCCTCCCAAAGTGCTGAGATTACAGGCATGAGCCACCATGTGTGGAGATTATATGTATATATATATAAATTCTAAATAAATAATTTATACATCCGAAAATAGATAACACACATACTCACATACACATACATACACAATGATCATTTCTTGAAATTAGTCTTAAGATAAATGGGTACAAAATTTGTTTTCCTCTGTGGTTAGGGCCTTAAATCACCGACTGTTTTCTCAACAGACAGGGAGCATATTTTTAGCTACTGGAAGATAACGCAATCAGATTCATCCATTTGAGACTTCTTATTTGTCTAAAAACAACAGCAAAAGGACTCAAGGGAAATACACTGAAAACTCATGACTCTTCCCCTATGTCAATATATAATGTGAATATTTTTGCATGCTTGCTGTTAAATATACATAAATATTCTTTGGAATCCATGTGATATTAATTTATCATCATATAGAAATCTTAATTTATGATAAGTGTGACATTTATAAGGGTCACTGATTACTGAAATACATGCACTCTACTCTGTTGTCATTGATTTTTCACCTTTGATTAAAAATCTGAAGGATATCTTGTATATTCTTAGATTTCCTGAAAAATCACTGAATTTCACAGAACTATACAATTTATTTCTCATTAAAATAATGTTTATTTATATGAAAATATATATTTACATATATTGAAATGAAATTTCTCTAGTGTGTTAAAAATAAATGACAGAAAGGAAAAATTTCTTTCTCAAAATCATAGTGAACTTACTATTCCCTTGTATAGTTGTTCTCAAATATATATTCAAATCAGATAGTATAATATAGTGTTAAGGATCTTTGAAATGTACAATAAATTTTGTATAGCTTAAACTTTGATGATGATTTTGGACATTATAAGGAGATATATTAACATCTCTGTAAAATTCTTCAGTTAGAACTGTGTTATGTAGACTTAAAATCAAGCATTAAAGACAACTTTCCTAGTATACACAATGTGACTTTAATGATCAAATGTATTTAGCATAGGTTACATAGACACAGGATTTTAACTCAGAAAACTCAGATGCCAACATTTTAAAATGCACATTAATGTTTTTAAAAATTAGCAATTACAGAAGGTATATTACTTCAAAAAACTGAAGTTTTATGCATTGTATGATAATATAATTTATACTACTCTGCTAATAATATATTATTTAGGGAAAATGAAAAATAGTGTAGAAAATATAAATTACTCAATTTTACCCAAGGAAAAATAGAAAACATGAACAAATCAACAGCTGTCAAAGAAATGGGAAAAGTTATCAAAGAATCACTACATTAAAAGTAACAAGGCTAGGAAACTTTTTATGTAAATTCTTTCAAAGAACACTCTTTTGATTCTATATAAACTCTCTTAGAGCATGGAAAAATATAAAAACTTTCCAATTCATTTCTCACAAGTAAAATAATCTTATAAAAATGTTTGAAGCATAGTGCAATAAAATATTAATTGATGTATAATGAAATATACCAAGTTCTAAATTAAAATATTACAAAACCCAATTCAGAAAGGCATTGGAAGAATAACATCATGACCAAAAATGGATGCTTTTAAGAGCTCAACCGTTTCTGTCAGTGTAAACTGCTGTTCAAAATGAAAAACTAAAATAAAATGTAATTCAAATAATGTAAGCATGATTATAATGTTAGAAAATCTATTACTATGATATTCCTGATGAATATGTTAAACATAAAAAAAAATTTCATGCACAGTAGGTATTTGTTTGTTTCTGTCTTTTTCGGAGACCGGGTCTTGCTCTGTTACCCAGGTTGGAGTGTAGTGGTGCGATCACAGTTCACTGTAACCCTGAACTCTTGGACTCCAGGTATCCTTCCACCTCAACCCCCTGAGTAGCTAGGACTACAGACACATGCCATTATGCCCAGCTAATTCTTAAAATTTTTTTGTAGAAGTGGGAATCTCGCTATATTGCCCAGGCTGGTCTCAAACTTCTGGCCTCAAGGAATCCTCCCACCTTAACCTCCCAAAGCACTCGAATTACAGGCATAAGTCACCATGACTGGCAGCCCAGTGGGTATTTCAAAGATTCAACAAGCACTCCTTTATAATACATGCATATAAATTAGGAATTGATGGATATTTCAACATAAATTGACTATTTCACTCTAGTGTTCAAAACCCTCACTGTGGGCCGAGCATGGTGGCTCACTCCTGTAATCCCAGGACTTCGGGAGGCCAGAGCAGGAGAATCACTTAAGGCCAGGAATTTGAGACCATTCCTTTTGGCTTCTCCAAGCATGCATTTCTTCCTTCTATGTGTGTAGCAGGACCCTCTCTGGAATGAGAGTCTTACTAGCTACATCCATATAAGGCAGGTCAGATAATTTCTTTATGGCCAATTTTTACACAAATAAGGCAAAGGGACATCAGAGTCATATTTTCAGGTTTTGTGGCCGACACTGGGGAAAGGAAATTCTTGTTTCTAAGACCCACCTTGGGGAAGAGAAATTCTAGTTTCTATGGTTAGCCTCTGAAGAGAACAGGACTGAGAGACAGAAAGGCAGAAGGTAAGAGAAAAAACTTTTCCTTCTGAGACTTTTATTTTGGGGTATTATTTTCTGAGCTGCAATGTGATGAAAGACTATAGAACTATTTACAAAAGCATGTTCAGCATTTATCAGAAGGCAAAACTTCCATGAGAGGAAATGCATCTTTTCTTTCACTAGACATGGTCATGCTAGCATGTGATGTCTGGATCTCCAGAGGCTATCCTGCAACCACAAGATGAAATATTATTTTTACACTGAATATGGCACAGCAAAAAAGTGAAAAGAAAACTGGTTTCTGACAATATTTTTGAGTTGCTAATTTAACCAAATTTAGTGCCATTCTAATTCGGGACTTCTGTGAGCTAATAAATCCCACAATAATTAGATTACTTTTAATGAGTCTTCTTTTACTTTTCATTGATAGTATTCTACCAGACACATATACATTATTACATTATCCCAAATAGAAATAATGAGAAGTAGTTATTAACACCACTGCACCAACAGTAAATTTAGTATTTGAGAGAATACTGGCTGGGCGCTGTGGCTCACACCTGTAATCCCAGTACTTTGGGAGGCTGAGGCAGGCAAATAACTTGAGGTCAGGAGTTCGAGACCAGCCTGGCCAACATGGTGAAACCCCATCTCTACCAAAAACACAAAAATTAGCCGGGCATGGTGGTGGGTGCCTGTAATCCCAGCTACTCAGGAGGCTGAGGCAGGAGAATTGCTTGAACCCGAGAGGAGAAAGTTGCAGTGAGCTAAGATTGCGACATTGCACTCCAGCCTGGATGATAAGAGTGAGCCTCCATTTCAAAAAAAAAAAAAAAAAAAAAAAAGGAAAAGAGAATACTGACATGCCTTAAGTTACTTAGCTCAAAATTTTGTAACCAGGATTCAAACATAGGTGTCCTTACCTCTAAATCTTATGCTCTCAGCCATTATGCCAATGTCTTCTGTTTTGCAATGATGAATATAATACTGTATATATTATCATCATTTATTTAACTGCTGTACTGTTGTTTTTCACATTGTTTTATAGGTAATATAATGATGAATATAATTTTTATAAATCTTTTATACTATATCAATTTTTCTTTAGAAGTAATTAGTAGAAATAGAATCACTAGGTTTTTTTCATGAATACTCTAAAAGTAATAATATTCTAAAGGAACTCCTATTTTTTTTTGCTCTCCAACTACTAAAACAACTTCTCTCCCTTCATCTTATCTACTGTTAAGGCTAAGAATAGGGTCAGAAAGGAAAATGGGAAATGTAAGGTATGTCTCAGTCACACAGGTGAGAGAAAAGCCCTCACTTTCTGGTACAGTGCGTTATAGGAAAGAGAAATGCCAGAAGAGGATTTTTAAAAGATAAAGGAGATGACTGAGATCAGTGGAGAAGCTTTTTCCTTGCTTCCTTTTCAGAACTCTGAGAAGAAAACACCTTACAAGTTCCCCTTTCATAGGGTAACTGTATCCACATAAAAATGATGACACAGAGAGAGCCTGGATTTATGTTCTCAAACTGTCTAAGTCCGATGTAATGGAAAAGAGACACAGAAACTCCTTCATGTCCAAAGGCTGAGTATCTCCTTGGTGAGCAAGCCAGATGGCAGCGACAATAAATTATATTGAAAAACTGAGCTGCAAACCAAATGAGATGCACATCCAGACTGCTGGAAATTCCCAAAACCACCAGAGGGAAGGTATGGCCAAGTCAGGAAGAAGAACTACAAGATTCAGTCTAAGTAAAAAGGAAACAAACTGTGAGTTATACCAGCAATAGAATCCAGCTTTGGATCTCATCAGAATGCCCAACAAAGGAATTGGACAAACCACACCTCGACAAATAACCAGTACACACCAAAAGCCTACCATAGAGCTAAAGGTTGCCTGTACCAAAGAGCCAAGGTAATGTAAACCTTCTATGTTGGTCACTATCATAAAGAGAAGGGGAAATGAAAAGACATCTGAAAAGTTTGGTAACACAAAAGGCTAATTGCGTAAAAAGACTTTTAAAATTTTAGATCAAAATGAGTATCCCATATCAGAATAACTTGAGTTTTTATTTTCCTTCTTAGCTAGTGAAGGTTAAGTTGGGATGAGTTCTTTTAAAGAATACCAGGGTCAGCTATGCAAATAAATAATATAAACAGTGTAGGGTAACTAGATATATAACCTCACTGTAATATGTTCTAAAGTTCTCAATTCATATTGTTGAAATCATCAACCAGAAAGGAAGACTTGATTTATACATTATACATTTGATTTATACATTCATACATTAATACTATAATGCTTAAGTATATTCCTTCTTGAAATCTGGCAACCCTTGGTATCACTTCAAAAACTCACTAAAATTTAACAATATGAAAAATTAAAAATTAAAAGTGTTACTCTAATTTGCATTCCTTTTATTACTACTGATGTTGAACATTTGTTCATCTACTCATTGGTCATTTGTAATTCTTGTTGGGTTAATTGCCTCTTCATGATACCTAACTTATTTCTTGTTTTGAAGTTTTCTTCTGAAAGGGTTTGTATATTTTTGGTTAAGTTCATCTATTAGAATATTTTTTCTTTGTTTTCTGTTATGAATTAGAACAATCATTTCCATGTTATTGTTGTTTTTCCCAAGTGACCATAGCTAATATATAAAAAAGTTATTCATTGTTTTCAAATTTTTTAATGAAGAATAAACTATAAACAATAAAATAGTTTAAATGTACTACTTCTAAACAGACACTTTTACATATGTCTATATAGTTCCATACCGTTGGTTTCAAGATACAGAGCATTTCTGACACTCCAGAAAATTCTCCCGGGTCCCTTCTCAGTCATTTTTTCCCAATGGCAACCACTATTCTGACTTCAATCTCCATTGATTAGTTTTGCTTATTCTTAAACATTACATAAAGGAAATAATACTGTTATGTACTATTTTGTATCTAAGCCATTTATTTTTACTTGTTTGTTATGGATTTGGAGACTTTCCTAAACACTATTTTCACAGCATTGTGGCATAATCTACACAGCAAGAATACCAATATAGCTCTACCAGAGAGAATCAAGGAGCAACGGTAGTAAGAACAACCTTTTATAAAGGCTTTACAAGAGGCTTCTCCTTAGGTCTCACTGGACAAAATTGGGTTATGTGATTAAATCAATCACTGGGAAGAGAAATAGATCACCATAATTGCATTTCACTTATGTAATTTATTCCCTGGAACTGGAGAAGAAAACATTTATCCTGAATATGTAGTTGTGTAGAGAATGGATACTCAAGCAACATTTGAGTATTGCCAGTGAAAAAGAAAGTTTGGAATAGGGAAGGAGAATGTGACTATGGTTTCCAACATCTGCTAGCACAGTGTTTAGGAAAATTATCATAGTGCTTGATTCATAGTATAAAAAGTTTAAAAAGTATTAAAATATAAAATAATCTGTTATTACTGATAATTCAAATAAGATTAAATTTTAGGGAATAATGAAATAGGAACATTCTCTCATTTTATTTGTTAGAAAGTAGCTTATAACCTGTATGATTACAATCTTGTTTTAAGATAAATGAATAAATATACAAACACATATTGTGTGCAGAAAAGAAAAAGAAGGAAGAAAGAAAAGAAATGAACACACACACTGGAAAACAAAGAACAATGTATAACAGTGAATGTCTGAAAATTGAAATAACAAATGATTTCACTAAAAATTCTAAATTGTCCACAGCTTTTGTTATCAAAAATAGCTATTTAAATATAGTAAAAATATAGAGAAAAACAAAAATATAATTTTCAATTTTGTATTTTATTTATGCTAAAATGAATAAATATACAAACACATATTGTGTGCAGAAAAGAAAAAGAAGGAAGAAAGAAAAGAAATGAACACACACACTGGAAAACAAAGAACAATGTATAACAGTGAATGTCTGAAAATTGAAATAACAAATGATTTCACTAAAAATTCTAAATTGTCCACAGCTTTTGTTATCAAAAATAGCTATTTAAATATAGTAAAAATATAGAGAAAAACAAAAATATAATTTTCAATTTTGTATTTTATTTATGCTAATTATAATCTATATTGTCATTGAATAAGGTAATTAATTCATGTGTCATTGAGCATTTAAAGATTAATTAACTGTTGCCAAGCTCATTGTTAAATGAATTGCTTCTCTGGGAGATCAGTTACATCTTGGAATATTTTATTTATAATGCATTTGACCTATTCACCTGTGATGTTGGACTACAGTGCATCAAACTTAGTCTAATTGTGCTTCTGTTATATACTATACACATTTGAACATTCTCAAAATGAAATGATGTATAGACTTGTGGTAGGCCAAATAATGCCTATTCTCTTTCCGCAAAAAAATAAAATGAAATAAAAATTAAAAATTAAATAAATGCCTACATCCTAAATGTAAGTATTGAACTTCACATGGCACAAGGGGCTTTTCAAATGTGATTAAGTATCTTGAGGTGGGGAGATTTTCCTGGGACACTCATGTGGGGTCAGTGTAATCACAGGGTCCTTATAACAAGATGAGGGTCAGAGTTATAGAAGAAGATGTGACAATAAAAATAGAAGTTAGATTGATGCAGCCACAAGGCAAAAAATTTGGTCAGCTTTTAGAAACCTAAAAAAGGCAAAGGACAGAATTCCTCCTAGAGCCTCAGAAGTAATGCAACTCTGCAGACCACTTGGTTTATTTCTTTAAAACCCAATTTGTACTTCTGACCCCTCAACATGTCAGAGAATATATTTGTGTTTTATCAAACCATTAAGTTTGTGGTCATCTGCTACAGAAGCAATAGGATATTAATATCTTTCTATACTTTGCTACATTTTGGTTTTTAATAAGTTTGTAGGAGATGATAGAATTATTTTTATGTGTCTCTCATTTACAGAGATAAAGTAATATATGTGTTTTTTTAAACTGATTTTTTCTTATGTTGATTAATAAATCATTGTTTTTCCTGATGTTCACAATTCAGAATATGCTAGCTTTGGTCAAGTGGGTGAACATTTTCTGAAGAGTTTTCAAATCAGTTTCTGAGTCTGTTTTACTTCATATATGAGATTGTTTTCCTTAATACATATATTACCACAGGTATGCAAAATAACATGCCCTGAAAATAATATTATTTTTTCTAAAAATGATTAATTCAACTCATAGAGAAATGTATAATTCTGAAAAACTATATCCAAGCTATTCAATATACCATCTTTATTATATCAGTTAGTAAGAAAAATTTTTTAAAAATAGACTGAGTCAATATATTTTTGGCAATTGCTCCAAGTTTCAGGAAATTATTGAAAATCAGTTAAAATAAAATAGATTGCATACATTCATTTAAAAAATGAATAATGGTGGTCCATTTATAATTCAGTATCAGTATAAATAATAACCTTTTTTCAAATTAAATCACTTGAAGGTCCTCATATTATTAATATATCATTTTATTTCTGATGCAATTTTAACGAAATTTTTTTTTTGAATTGAAAAAAAGTATTTATTCTAAGTGGCACAAGTTTTTAGGCTTACTGTTTGTTTAAATATTAGTAAAAGAGGAATTAGTGGAGAAGGGTTTTTTGATGTCCTACAACATGAATTTATAGCTCAGAGAAAATTACGGCTAGTGATTACTGGCAGGAGGAGAGAAGAGAATGGAAGATAATGAAAAATAGCCACATTGACAAGGATTGAATCAGAGTAAAACCATACAATAAAAGTAATAGTTTTCCTTATGCATGTTCCATTGTATTGGGGGATACAGCTATAATCATCTTGGACTTAGTCTGACTGCAACAATAGAAGCAGACGACAGCCTAGCTGTTTTAGAATTCAAGCCAGTGGTTCCAAATTCCTCATGCCTAACCTTTCTACCCCACTTGGCTTGCTCTAATAATAGAGAATTCTCATGAATATTTTAATGTATCAAATATAAATGGAGATTTTGTGGAATATTTAACCCATATCAGTAATCTGCCTATTTAAGTATTATGTAGCTTATCTCTTTATTAACAATTTTCAATAATCTAAAATTTAAAGTGTTTGCAAAATATGTCTGTGCGTGATCATGTGTGCATAAGCAAAGTCTATTAACTACCTCAGAGAGTATGTACATCAAGAATTATTAGGAGGGGCTATGTTAGTGGAAAATTGATTTTCAGGATTCTAAAACTAGTGATCTAGGCTTTTAGATGAATATATAAATAAAGCAAGAATCACACATATGAAAGAAACTTTTTAATATACTAAGTCACATGTATTTGATATTCAGGTAATTGTGTGTATGTATATGCATCTTTACCAGAAAAAAAACTCATTTGAGAAAATAATAGAAATAATAATAAGCAACTGTAATGTACCCTTGGAGTCCAATGAAAAGTGTAAATTATTCCTTCACTGTTTTCCTTGGGTCATCTTTTAGCCCACAACAAATAATTTCTTCTGGGCTTGTAGAGACCCTTTATCTCTTCTCCCTCTAATCATCCTGTCTGCCATTCAGTTCTCCCACCCATGATTCTTGTTCTTTTATCCCACTTCTATCGCTGTCCAAAAGAGTTTCCATAAGAAGAGCACCTACAAGAAAAAAAAACCTTCATAGTATTGATGTGTTTTTATTGAGGAGCTTTGATTTATTGTTATGATTAAAGAACCCTTCTCTTCCAGTGCTGAACTAAACACAGTAGGCAAATAAAACAGAGAACTTATCAATCACTACCACCGACTCCTCATCAGGCAGAATATATTTTGTGTTAAGGTTTTTAAATTCAAAAATATAAATATTCAACTACCATTTGTATCTGGGTTAAAACATACACACACACACATACAAATACACACACACAGAGTACTTTCAAATTTATTATAGTAATTGACCTGTAGTATCTTGAAAATATTTAAATCATGCTGAACATTTTAAATTCACATATGACATTAGGTACTCAAATGCCTTATCCTATAATAAGCATATCCCCAAAAGTGATAGCAGATAGTTTTTGTTGTTTGGAGTTATTTTTGTATCAAATTACTTCTATTGAATGCCATTCTCTGAAAAAGCTTGGCATGAAGTGCCTCGAGCATATAACCAGGTTGTTGAAATGCTACTGTTTTCTGAAAATCAAGTTTTCGAGAGAGAATGATGACATTGTGTGCTGGAAAGCGGAAGACAGAGCAGCAAAGTTAACAGAGTACATGAAACAGGTGTTTGGCAATCTAAGGAAACAAAGGCTTAACATCACCGTCTATGCCAAAATTCATATTTATGAGTATTTTTTCAGATAATCTTATTTATGCTTACAATTAAAAATAAACATTGGCAAGGATGCTAACATGAGTTAATCTGGCAAATAAAAAATTAAAAGTAGTCTCTCTCTCTTTCTCCTGCTTCCTACCCATACCCATTTGTGTGTGTGCACACTTGTGCCTGAGTCTGTGTTTATATATGTATTTTTATATATATGTATGTATGTATATGTATATAATACATGTCTTAGAACATACATACATTAAAGACGTTTTCATAAATCATTTCCATAATCATTGCCAAAAATGTGTATCTAAATATTTTTCTTGTGGTTGTTAATGAGAATTGACATATAAGAATTCTCTGTGTTATGCCAAAATGGGTATTATAAAGTTATTTATTGTAAAGAACCATAGGGTAAGGCAGACATAATTCAAGAGTTTATCAATAAAGTCAGCCTCCACTGCTGCTTACTCAAATGAAGACAGATGTTGAAAAAAGAACTAGCTTGATTTAAATAAAACTGGTCTGTTATTTGTAAAAATAATACATTTGGGTAGGTGCTAATCTGTTACTGTTATTGCCTTTTGTTTTTAATGAAGCTGGAATACATAAACTCAAGTCATCTAATCTGAATGATATTTAGAAAGGTTATACTTGTTTAAGAAATATAAACTCCAGCTATAGATCATCTAACAACTTGTTAGAAAACAAATGAGTTAGAAGCACTTACTGTGGGAAATGTTAATAACCAAGCAGAACACATTGGATCATTCACCTCCTAGTAAAAGGGGTTCCATTTGGCCACACTTTCCGTTTGTCCATTTAGTAAAATGACTTAAGATTTTTTAATTGATTTCATCGTGTTTGCTTTCTAGTGCCTGCTAGAGAACATGATTTTTAGATTACACACCCTGATTTGGTAGGCAGTTTGCTGTCTCTGAAGAAGGCTTAACATGATTTGTTAGAAAAAGATTTTATTGCAGGCAAGGCCATTATTTTGAAGACCTGCATATTGAAAAATAATTTTATTTTTAATTCTATTTCAAATTCTGTAGAATTTTAATTCTACAGAAATTATCCTCTTTTTAATAAATAATCAGTAGGATGAACTTCAAGAAACATGAGATAATCTAGACCAGTGTTTATGTTAAGGGTTCATATTTTCTCATTTAAAGTAGTCTGAAAGGACGTTTACTTTATTTGACTAAGTGTGATTTTCAAAAGTAAAACTTTGAAGGAAGATATGAAAATTACTCAGGTAGTGTAGAAAAATCAATTTGCATGTATTCATAGACTATGACATTTCACAACCTCTATTGTGTATCTTTCTGTGGCTAATTATATTTGACTTTAACAGTAGAGAACAACCATTTGATTAATCAACACACCAACTCAAAAAAGCAAAAAAAGCTATTGGTTAAATGTTAAATCTGTCAGTATAAATACTTTTCAACAAAGTAGGAATATAATGAACTTCCATATTCTGATTAGGTTTATATATCAATAATTTAAAAATTACAGGCCGGGCGCAGTGGCTCATGCCTGTAATCCCAGCACTTTGGGAGGCCAAGGCAGGCAGATCACGAGGTCAGGAGATCAAGACCATCCTGGCTAACACGGTGAAACCCCATCTCTACTAAAAATACAAAAAATTAGCGGGACGTGGTGGCAGGTGTCTGTAGTCCCAGCTACTCGGGAGGCTGAGGCAGAAGAATGGCGTGAACCTGGGAGGTGGAGCTTGCAGTGAGCCAAGATCGCACCACTGCACTCCAGCCTGGGTGACAGAGCGAGACTCCGTCTCAAAAAAAAATTACAGCACATATTTTACTATGATTTTTTAGGTAATTTTTTAGAGTAAAACATGAGACAAGGTTTCCCACTAGCATTGTTTGTATTCAACTTTATAGTGCTGCCCCATGCTAGTATAATATAGAAAGAAAAAGAAATAACAAAATTTGAAATTTTTTTACCCAAACGTGCTTTTAATTATACTATTAACAAAGATAAAGCAAAATCAGGGAAGCGAAACATAATCACATGTGAGTGTAACAAAATTAACATCATTTGATCTCAGATTCTACTTACTTCCTCTAAACCTGTTCCTTTTCCAAATATTGAATATTTTCCCTCTTTGCTAGTATTTCTCTATGAAACACCAAATTAAATATGCCTTTGCTTTAACAGTCAAATAATTATATAAGAAAAATAACAAATATAAAATAAATCATGTTGGCATTTAAAGATTAAAATGAAGCAACGGTTTGATCAAAGAGATTTATTAGTTGATATTTGTTCATCACTATGAATATTTCAAATCTTATGTAGTCAAACTAATCTGCCACTGCGTTCCAGGAAGTGATAATATCTCCTTTAGTGTCATTAACAATGTTAATCTTTGTCAAAGTCCCCTACATTAAAAATGTATAAAAGCAAAACGTTGCTGTAGTAATTATTCTAGAACAGTATTTTCTGGTTCTTGTGATTTAAAGACCTCAAATCTATAAGCAGAGCATCATGGGCAAGATATTATATACATGCATAGACACATATATACAAATACGCAATACGCTCCTCTTCCCTTTCACACTTAACTTTTTATGTATTTATTTATTTTCAGACATGGCCTTGCTCTGTTGCCCAGCCTGGAATGCAGTGGCATGATTATAGCTTTCTGCAGTCTTGACGTTCCAGGCCCAAGCAATCCTCCCATCTCAGCTTCCAGAATAGCTGGGACAACAAGCATGCACCACCACACTTGGCTGATCTATTTATTTTTCTTTTTATTTTCATTTTTTTTTTTTTTTTGTAGAGACATAGTCTCTGTATGTTGCCCAGGCCGGTCTCAAACACTTGGGCTCAAGTGATCCTCCCACCTTGGTCTTTCAAAGTGTGGGGATTACATGCATGAGCCACTGCGCCCAACCGGATAAATTTTTCTTAAAACAGAAAACATTAAATATTCACACATTCATGAAATGGATTAAACTATCAAAGCTTCATGTGCATTTACATATGGACCAGTTGTGTGTTTTATATTAAAAGTAACCAAATCATTTATTTCTGCTATTCCCATGAACATTGTGTGGAGACTTTCTGCATGCCATTATCTCATTTCCTCTATTGAATCAATGGGTTCATCAGGGGTCTTTTCAGTTTCAAGCAACAGAGATACACTCCAGCTATTATAGTTTAAACAGAGAAGAGGCATTCACTGGAAGCACAATCTATGTTTCACAGCCAGGAAGGGCTAGAACCAGAATTCAAGGACTGTCAAGGCCAAGTAAAGGCTCTTTCTGAGACTTTATTCTCTCTCTTCGTGCATACTTGCTGCTTCTTCCTTCTCTCTGCAGACTGGCTACTGGTGCATAGGGGCAAAACCTGGCCACTTCCAAAGGCCGTCTCTGCCTCGTTGTGCATGCTAATCCCAAATTCTTTCTTTTTTTAAAAAACTCTCAACAAAATCACCTTTATTATTTAATAGTTATTGTCATTTTAAAGGATTTTGATTTTTAAAAGTACTAATTTTATTTTATATGAAATTAAAGTAGCATCATTTTAAATTAATACAATCAATTTATGTGAAGTAGTATAGATATCCAAGTTTTATGTTGAAATAAAACAAATTATATCTTAGCAGACTGCTGCTAATAAGTATTTGCAAGTAAATATTTGCTAATTGGGGAAAGGAAAGAAATGGTAGTGAAGCACCAATTTGGATTTGTTCTGATAATTTATTTAAAAATTATTCAAAATTAATCAGAAATTTTAAATTCAGATTTTAAGAATGAGTTATATCATTTTCTTCAAAATGATGAGACACTTTATTGAATGTTTAATATTGCCATGTATTTTGTGTTTACCAGAAATAAATAGTGCCAAAAGCTTTCTATATCATGAGACTAAATCAATGGCTTTCTTCTTATTTTAAGCCAAGTGATCAATAAATATTTGATCTTATCTTAAAATTTAGATTTCTAGAACCATCCACCATGTATTTTATTAAGTACAAATAGCACTTTTTAAAATTTCAAGTATTGGTTCTGATTAGTCACAGTGGCTGTTATGATTGGCTGGTATCCATGAAAAACTAATTGTCAAGTACTTTGGATGCCATTCTTACTTTTCTTCATTTTTCTTTTTTAGAGACAAGTTCTCACTATGTTGTCCAGGGTGGTCTTGAACTTCCGAGCTCAAGCAATCCATCCACTTCAGCCTCCCAAAGCGCTAGGATTACAGATGTGGCTCAGCACACCTAGCCTATACTTCTAGCATCAATTTTTTAATGTGCCTTTTTTTTTTTTTTTTTTTTTGGTTAGAGATGTTTTACAAAAAGTTTTCTATTTATCTGCCCCTCTCAGCACCTAATTCCCTTTCCTATTCATCCCCTGATATTGGAAGGGGAGCGAATTTAAGTTTTTAATTTTTTTCTGTCAAATGAGCATAATCACAGAATGAGAAGAAATTATAAATGTAATTTAAAAGCTAACTTAGTTTAGTGACATATTAGTCAAAGCATCTCTATATTGGTTGCTTTTTCTGGCATTGATAGGTCATGTCTACTTTCTTCCTATTATGTCCTTGTTGTGAATTTGAATGAGATATTAATGGGAAAACACAGCAATCTAAATATACCTGACTGAATAATAGTTCTCCTCTGTCTGAAAATGTTATCCTTACAATCATGCAGTTATAGGATAAATGTTTTTGCAGTTGCCAGATTATCTAAATAAAATATATGAATCAACCAACGGACTGATATGGAAGTTGCCTACGAGAGTTTGCTATCAACATTATAATAATTTTAAATATTGGTATAATTTATTCTGAGAGTGATGAAGACAAATTAGGAAGCATTTTCAAATTTTGTTTTCTGAGATACAAAATTCATAAACTTAAAGATGAATATAGCAATTTGCTATGAGTCATGTGAGGCAAATGAGAAAAATAGAAAAATTGAAGTGTCTAAGGTGACATTAACTATACTTGGTTTATTACTGAGTTGGAGGTGGATAATAAATTATAATTTTAAAATTAGTTTATTACTTTCTATAAATAAAGATAAGTTCATAGATATGTGTTTACACATGTATAAATAAATTATCTAACTTTAGTCAAATTTCAATTTGTAATTTTTCACCTCAATCAATGAGAAGCTTTGAATTGGTAGTTTTTTATGTTTAGAAAACATAAAGAGGTATCAAATCAACTTCTGTGGTATATGCTATATTCAGAACACATTTGCTTTAGTTATATACATATATAACTAAGTTGTTGAGCAAACAACAGTAGTAAGTTGAGCAGAACACTATGTATATACATGCATATATGTGTCTATATATGTGTATATATGCTATATATACCTCTCTTTAAATATATATAATATATATTTTAAGAGACAGGATCTCAGTATGTTGCTTAGGTTTGCCTTCAGTTCCTGGGCTCAAGCAACCCTCCTGCCTCAGCCTCCCAGTGTGCTGGGACTACAGGCGTGCACCACCACAACTGGCCCTGTTTAGTCTTAAGAGAGTAAAATTACATAAATTAATGAAAATGAAGTAAAGAATCAGAATCATGTGGCTCTACAAGCACTTCAATCGTTAAAATCTCAAGCTGTAGTTAAGTTGAGCAAAACAATGCCTCTCTCAGTTACATGATCATAAAAATGGACGGCAATAAAGTATTTCACTTGACGGAAGGCAAAGGACTGACTTACATTTTGAGGTCTCTTTTTATATTATTTTATGATTCTGATTATGTATGTTACTGCAGGAAATATAATAGATATAAAACTAGCATGGCTAATACAAGCAGAGTGTCTGCCTTATTTTCAATTGACAATGTTTAGTTATTTATAGTCCCACAACAGCCATTTCTGTGATTACATTTTGTCTATATTTATTGCTATGATTTTGAAGCAAGTTAGATAAGGCCTGAGGGTCATATAACTATCTCACTGATGCTAATAGCTGATAATGGTTTACAACAATGATCTTAACCAGAAGTATACATCTGAAATATATACCAGAGACTGTTGAGGTCTGAATATTTGTGTCCTTTCAAAATTCATGTGTTGAAATTCTAACCCTGAAGGTAATTGTATCAGGAAGCTGGCCTTTGGAAGGCAATAGGTCGTAAGCGTGCCGCTCATGAATAGAATTAGTGCCTCTATAAAATAGAACTGAAAGAGCTTGTTCACTCCTTCCACCATGTGAGAACACAATAAAAAGACTCCATTCTATAGACAAGAAAGTGATTCTACACCAGACATCAAATCTGTTGACATCATGATCTTGGACTTTCTAACCTCCAGAAATGTGAGAAATAAATTTCTTCATTTAAAAGCCACCAAAATTATGGTATTTGGTTAGAGCATCCCAAATAGGCTATGACAAAGGTATACATCAAAACCACCTAGGTGGGTTTTTAAAATTACAGATGCCTTGGTCCAAGCCCTAGAAATTTTGATTTCATACCCTAAATTGAAAATAAGAACTGTTTTTTCTTAATGTTTTCAAGATCATTCTGAGAAGCAATACATTTTCAGCAACTCTAAAGAAGAATTCTTGCATATTCATATTTTGGTGGAAAAATGCAAGTAGAATATTTCTTTAACCCAAAAGAAGAGATGTGATTTAAATATTTGCAATAGGCTAGTAGGGGTAAATTTTTTTGGGGGGGGGGAGAATCTTGAGGGCTACTTTTCAAACCACAATTTTACATGCCAGATGTTTTATTGTCTTAGTTGCAGCTAAAAATCTATAAAAGAGAAAACCAATGTATTTCAAAGTATTACAGGGCTGGATTTAGGATATATTCTCAGATTTGTAGTTTAAAATTTATAAGTTCAACATTAATAATTACAGGATTGGGAAATGCTTTATATGCAACAAATTCAAAAGACAGGGATATATAATAGAGGAAGCCAGATTATTAAGTAGAATGGACATTTATTTGTCACAGTACCTGAAACTGGCCATTTAGTTAGGAATCTTTTCCATCTAGTTGTTTTCATCAATAAAAAATACTCTCTTAAAATTACAGGCCATCAATATTCTATAAATAAATTTTCTAAGAAAAAAATTTTAAAAAGCATTTACAATAGCTACAGATAAAATTAAATACCTAGAAATTAACTTAACCAAAAAGCATAAGATCTCTACAATAAAAACCATAATGTACTGATTAAAGAAAGTGAAAATGACACAAAAAGTAGAACAACATTTTCTGATTATGGATTGGAAGAATCAATATTGTTAAAATGTCCATACTACTGAAAGCAATCTGGATTCAATGTGATCCCTATCAAAACAACAATGTCATTCTTCACAGAAATTAAAAAAACCCCTAAAATTTGTATGGAATCACAAAAGACCCAGAATAGCCAAAGCTATTTTAAGCATAAAGAACAAAACTGGAGGAATTATATTACCTGACTTCAAATTATACTACAGAGCTATAGTAACAAAAACAGTATGGTACTGGCATAAATACAGACACATAGACCAATAGAACAGAATAGAGAACACAGAAAAAATTTGGCACACCTACAGTGAACTCATTTTCAACAAAAGTGCCAGAACATACATTGAAGAAAAGATGCAATAAATAGTGCTCAGAAAACTGTGTATCTATATGCAGAAGACTAAAACTTGATCCCCATCTCTCACCTCATACAAAAATCAAATCAGAATGGATTAAAGACTTAAATCTAAGATCTCAAACTATGCTACCAGAAAACTTTGGGGTAAATATCCAGGACTTTGGAGATTTTTTCTGGGCAAAAATTTATTGAGCAATACACCATAAGCAAAATGGGAACCAAAGCAAAAATGGACAAATAGAAGTTAAAAAGCTTCTGCACAATAAAGCATACAATCAACCAAGTGAAAAGACAGCCCACAAAATGAGAGAGAATATTTGCAAGCTACTCATCTGATAGGGCATTTATACCCAGAATATAAAATGATCTCAAACAACTCTATAGGAAAAAATTCAATAACACAACTTAAAAATGTTCAAAAGATTTGAATAGACTTTTCTCAAAAGAAGACACACAAATGACAAAGAGGCATATGGAAAAGTGTTCAATACCCCTGATCATCAGAGAAATGCAAATCAAAACTACAGTGAGATGTCATCTTAACACAGTCAAAATGGCTTTTATCCAAAAGTCAGGAAACAGCACCTGCTGGTGAGGTTTTGAAGAAAAGGGAAACCTCGTACACTGTTGGTGGGAATGTAAGTTATTGCAACCACTATGAAGAACAGGTTGGAGGTTCCTCCAATAAATAAAATAAAATCCAGCATCCTCACTGCTAGGTATATATCTAAAGAAAAGAGAACAGTATATTAAAGAGATATCTGCACTCCCTTATTTGTTGCAGCACTGTTCACAATAGCCAAAATGTGAAAGCAACCTAAGTGTCTGTTAACAGATGAATGGATAAAGGAAATGTGGTACTTTAACGCAATGGAACACTATTCAGTGATTAAAAGAAAATGAGATTCTGTCTTTTGCAACAACATAAATGGAACTGGAGTTCATTATGTTTTTACATGTTCTTTGTTTGTTCTAAAGATCAAAACAATTGAACTCCTGAAGATAGAGAATAGAAGTATGATTATCAGAGGCTGAGAAATGTAGTGGGGGGGTGGTCAGAAACGAGATGGGGATGGTTAATGCACACAAAAATAAACTGTTTGAAAGAATGATTAAGACCTACTATTTGCACAAAAAGGGGATTATAGTGAATAATAATTTAATTTTACATTTTAAAATAACTAAAAGAGTGTAAGTGGATTGTTTATAACACAAAGGGTAAGTGCATGAGAGGATGGATATCCAGTTTTCCATAATGTGATTATTATGTATTGCATGCCTGTATCAAAATAGCTCATGTAACCCATAAATATATACCTGTACTGTATACCAACAAAAATTAAAGATAAAATTTAATGAAGATTATTTGCTAAGAACAGGGAGCTTGATAGAAACAGAAATTGTTTTTAAAAACGGCGATCAAAAAGAGTGAGGAAAATTATTTTTATCTTGACCCTGAAAATTAAAATGAAGTCTAACAGTTCAATGGGATTTTCAATTATCATGTCTGTAAAGAGAGTCTTGGCATGGAAGATAACAAAGAGATAAGAAGTGTATCTTGGTCTTAGAGGTTCATTTTATAAAATGAGACTATTTTTAAGTCATGCTTAAAAAATAACATAGTGGTAAAATGATAGACCTATTTTTCAACTTCTTATGGAAAAATAGAAGAGTACTATATATAATGGGGTAAAATGAAGGTAGAGTCTGGTGGGGAAAATAATATTTTAACAATAACAAATGATATTGTACTGTGAGTACTTTTTTTTTCATTATTGGCTAATAAGTTTTGTTTAATAGACTAAATTCTCTTTAGCTTTAATTTAAGACATTTTATGGGTTTCTTTTTTCTTTTACATTGTTTTCATATTCTTAGTTACCTTGTCATATGATTTCTATAAATTTGGTTCTAGTTAAAAAATTTCTCACAAAATAACATAAAAAAATATTCAGTATATCCAGATATCTCATGTAGTCTAAAGTAAAATTTTCATTTTAAAAATGCCTCTAAGGGGCAGGATGTGGTGGTTCATACCTGTAATCCCAGCACTTTGGGAGGCTAAGGTGGGAGGATAGCTAGAGCCTGGGAGTTCAAGGCCAGCCTGGGCAACAAAGCGAGATCCTCTCTAAAATTTTTTTTTAAATTGCCAGGTAGGTTTGCATGTGCCTGTAGTCCCAGATACTTAGGAGGCTGAGGAGAGAGGATTTCCTTGAGACCAGGAGTTTGAAACTGCAGTGAGCTATGATAGCACCACTGCACTCCACTCTGGATGACAGAGTGAGATCTCATTTAAAAATAATAATAATGAAGAATAAATAAGTAAAATGATTCTAAGATATAAAAACAATTTTAATATTCAGGATATGAACAGATTCACATCTAAGTTGGAAATAGACACATTTAATCGAGGAGAAATCTGTAAAGGTCAACCTAAACAAGAAATTATTGTTTTCTATTTATTTAAACTAGAAGAAAATTATTCTTAGAATAAAATAAATCTGTTTTGGGGAAGTGAGATGTAACACCCAGATTGTTTTAAAAATGATTTTTTCATATTTTATTTTCAACATCCACCTTAATTGGAAAGTATAAAATGGGACCTTCAATTTTTTTTTGTCCACGATAGTTATAAAGTCAAGGAATTTCAGTTGACTCTCAAAAAATATAAAATAATTTGACATGTGAAAATGTAGATCATAAAATACTTAAGATGGTGGTGACACATTAATAAAAATTAAAGTACGAAAATGAAGACACAAAACAATTTTTCTGTGTTGTTTTAAGGTTCCAATCATTCGTTTCCTGTGAAGTGGTTAACCGTTCACAAATAAAGTGTTGCATATACAAAGAAAAGACATGAAAGTTATTTTAAATTCAATAATATGATATGCCATAAAAAACAATTCATACAAGCTTCTCTTCAGAACTAATAAAAAAGAAGTTATACATATCAAAATATTTAATTTATGAAACATTGCCCCTTAAGACTTAGTCATAGTTTTCAGGATATATGAGATAGCACTATATTAATATTGATGTATGAGGTGCACAGTACTCAGCAGGGCACAAGCAAGAGGAGTGCAATACAGAGGCAGAAATAAAGCACAAGATGTACTTTATATTCTCTGGCATTCTGGCTGCTTTTTAAAGAGCACTCAGAAAATTGGAAAGAAATGCCATTCAAAGGAATCTGTGAACTTTACAAGGGCTTATTTCATGGCAAGTAGCCAAAGCATTTGATCCTAAATTTCATTGGCTCTGATTATTATTGCTTATGAAGTAACCCTTCAAAATAATGGGTTCTTGGGATTCCAGCTATCCTGTGGCTCATGGGGCTATGCAGCCTATATTGGATCTTATTTCATTAGAGTTGTAAAAAGCTTTTGAAATGTCCAATCCTCATATTAAATTAAATTAAAATCAGCTCTGAAAACTTTACATATACTCATCTTTTTATGTGTATTTTGATGACCCGAACTTTTTGTTTATTACATCTAAATTTTCTTATTTTTGAATTCTATTTTCCTACTTCTTTTTTTTATCAATTCTTATTGTGAATCTTTAGTAAGTTAATTTTCAGTCTTTTTATCCAAAATTAAAATATTGAGTACTGTGAAATTTATTGTAAATAGTTCATATTTTAGGTTTGATACATGTTCATTTTAAGAATTACTAAATGATTTATAGTTTCAGTTTTAACTTTTTAGTTAAACACACAATGGCTAAGGTTGTGTTTGTTGGATTATCTCTCTCTTTTTTTTTTTTTTTTTAACGTTCTTATAATCCTATTTTCTTTAGGGTATATAGGATGTGAACTGAAAAGTATCCGAGATAGATCTCAATTAATTTAGAAAGTTTATTTAATGCCAAGATTAAGAACATGCCTGTAACACCGCCTCAAGAGGTCCTGGTAATGAGTGCTCCAGGTGGTTGGGGTACAGTTTGCTTTTATATATTTTAGGGAGACATAATACGTCAATCAATATGTGTAAGATTTACATTGGTTCCACCTGGAAGGGCAGAACAACTCAAAGCTGGGGCTTCTAGATCATAGAGAGACTTAAAAATTTTCTGATTGGCCATTGGTTGAAAGAGTTGTTATCAATATAAAAGAATGCCTGGGTTACAATGAGAGAATACATTCTAATTGTTTCTTATCAGACTTAAGGTCTGTGTTGATGTTAATGCGGTCAGCTTTTCCTGAATTCTAAAAGGGAGGAGAGTATAATGAAGCATTTCTGGCTTCCCCTTCCCATCATGGCCTGAGCTAGTTTTTCAGGTTAACTTTGGAAAGTCCTTGGCCAAGAGGAGGGGTCCATTCAGAATGCTGATGGCCTTATAATTTTATTTTTGGTTTACAAAAATTTTTACTTTTCAAAATTAAGGTGGTCATTGTTACCAAGCATAAAGCATATGATATTTCAAGAGCATAAAAGACTGTTATGCATCCTGTGATAGCCATAGTAACTTGAAATAATCAGTATACATATAGTATTTACAGCCATCAGAGGAGATGACCTTTTCAAAGGAGTGGGTATAGATGGAAAAGAGATTCAGGAAGAGAGACACTCCAGTTTGTAAGGGTTATTTAAACAAAGAGGGTGGAGGTATGTGAAAGATTATGAGACAAGAGCAGTAAAAAAGATTGAGAATAAAAAACTGGTGAGAAAAAAAGTCAACTGTGGGAGCACAATTTTCTATAAGTGAAATAAAGAAAAGTGTTTCATAAAGAATGGAGTGGGCTAGGCACAGTGACTTGCACCTGTAATCCCAGCACTTTGGGAGGCCGAAGTGGCTGGATTGCTTGAGCCCAGGAGTTCAAGACCCACCTGGGCAAAATGGTAAAGCACTGTCTCTCCAAAAAAAAAAAAAATGCAATAATTATCCAGGCATAGTAGAGCACTCCTGTAGTGCCAGCTATTAGGTTTTGAAGGGAAGATGAGGGTTAAAGAAAGACACACACACCAAAAGAGAGCAACCCAACAGCAAATCCAGGCTTTGTGTCCAGCATAAAACCTATAGAAGTGGGGGACCAGTCTAATGCCAGAGCCCACCACTGCTTACAGGCTGGGGCAGTTTATAGGTGTGGGTGGGAGTGGTCTGGGCAGTATGGCTTGCTGCCCCGCAAAATATTGATAAGATATTCCCATGATGAGGCAATTCTTGTCCTTGTTCCAGTGGAATGTCATCGTGGTGTTTCTTGGAACTTTGTCCAGCAAGATATAATGGAGATGTTTCTTTAGTGGGCCCTTGTCCGCCTTGTAGTCAGGTGGTTAGGCAGGATATTTCTCATGGTCCAAACTCCCATAAAATGTTTCACTTTAACTGAGGTCTGCAAAATAGCGGTGAGCTTATAAAATGGTGCAGTTCATACTAACACCAGCTACTAGGGATGCTGAGGTGGGAGAATCCTTTGAGCCCGGGAGGTAGAAATTGCAGTGAACCCTCCTTGTATCACTGCACTCCAGCCTGGGTGACATAGCGAGACCCTGTCTCAAAAAAAAAAAAAAAAAAACTGAGTGATGAACTGTCAAATTATGTGGGTATGTAAAGTTACAGGATGTCTTAGTTCCTTCAGGCTGCTATAACAAAATACCATAAACTGGATGGCTTATAAACAAGAAAAGTTTATTTCTCACAGTTCTGGAGGTTGAAAAGTCCAAGATCAGGGTGCCGGCAGATGTGGTGTCTGGTGAAAGTCTACTTTCTGGTTCTTCGATGGCTGTCTTCTCACTGTGTCTTCACATGGCAAAAGGGGTGAGCTAGTTGTCTGGAGTCTTCTGTATGAAGGCATTTATCAAGAGTCCTCATTACCTAATCACTTTCCAAAAGACCCACTTCCTAATACCATGTCATTAGGAGTTAGGATTTCAAAATACGTATTGTGGAAGGAACATAAACAAACCATAGTATAGGAAAAGTGAAAGTCACATGGTCAATTTTACACTGTAGAAATAATTAGTGGCCTTGAAAAGAGTTGTTTCTATAGTGTAGTGGGGATAAAATTTTGATTTGTGTGGTTTCAATAGAGAGTGGGAGGAGAGAAATTTGAGAAGGGGGTTATAGGAGACTTATAGAAGTCAACCATTGCAACAAATGGAATACTATCTAGGAAAAAATATAGGTAAGATTGATAGATGCAGTAGAGGGAGAAAGTGAAAGTGTGGTTATATTTGTTATTGCTTTATATTATCTAAAATTATGCTAATAAAAAGTGTAGAATAGTATATTAACCCCCACATACCCATCATTGAGTTTCAAAAATTATCAACTTGTTTTACCTGTACCCCCAAAACCCCCAATTATTCTGAAATAAAACATAAATTTTATTACTTTATCTGTAAATATTTTAATATAAACCTCTAAAAGATAAAGACCCTTTAAAAATCACCAGAATGCTTTATGGTAATTAAAACAATATTAATTAAAATACTTTAATATCATTAAATTACCCTAATCATTGATCTTCTAACTTTTTTTAATCAGGACAATTAATATGTATAAAACATTGCAATGTGTTAAAATGTTTCTTAAGCCTCTTTCAATCTATAGCAGTGGTTTGTAATCTTAGTTACATGTCAGAATCAATTGAGGGTGGGTCTTTAAAAATCCTGATGTCTAAGCTATACACCTGACAAGTTAAATCAGTATCCCTTGTCATAGGCTGTAGGCATCAGTTTTTTATTTTTAATCTCTATGTGTGATGCTAATGCTCATATGAATTTGAGAACAATGATCTATAGATCCCCATTCCTCTCATTTTTTTCCCTTGCAATTCATTCGCTATAACTACTAATTTGCTTTATCCCACAGTACATACAGACACACACATACACACACAATTTTTAGAATAACAACACTAATACTCCCATTAATAGCATGTTGAAATTTAAAAGTGTGTTATTTTTAATGATATTCTTTGTTTTTAGGATGTATTTTATAAGTGATATACAGTCCAATTACTGTTTTGTTTTTCTGTGTATATGTGGTCTTACTATGTTGCCCAGACTGGTCTCAAACTCCTGGTCTCAAGCGATTCTTCCACCTCGACCTCCCAAAGTTTTGGAAATGCAGACATACACCACCACATCTGGTCAAATTACTAGGTTTCAAAGTAACTTAATTTTTTTTTCTTCGTGTAGTTATACCTCCAACTTGATATTCAGTTAGACTTATTTATATTAACTGTTTATTTGAGTTTTAGGAATGGCATCTCAACATTTAATTTTATTGAAATATTTTCTATGTATTTTCATGGATTCCAAAGCAAAAATACAAAACATGGCATATTCAAAAGTTATATAATTACTTTTTCCAATAGCTTCAGGAATACAAGTGGTTTTTCATTACACGGATGAATTTTATAGTGGTGAAGTCTGGGCATTTAGCGTCACTGAACCCAATAGGTAATTTTTCATTTATTTCCCTTCCTAACCTCCTCTCTTCTGAGTCTCCAATGTCCATTATACCACTCTATATGCCTTTACAAACACATAACTTAGCTATCACTTATAAGTGAGAACATGCAGTATCTGGTTTTCTATTCCTGAGTTACTTCACTTAGAATAATAACCTCCAGATCCATCCAAGTTTTTTTTTTTTTCCAATAGTGAATTGTGCAGCATTAAACATACATGTGTAGATTTCTTTTAAATACAATGACTTCTTTTCTTTTGGGTAGATACTCCATCGTAAAAGGCAAAAGATTTATACGATCTGAAGAGAAACCAGAGTATAGATACTCCATCGTTGGATTGCTGTATTGAATGATAGATGTGCTTTTTATTCTTTGATACATCTCCATACTCTTTTCCATAGAGGTTGTGCTAACTTACATTCCCACCAACAATGTGTAAGTGATACCTTTTCATTATATCGATACCAATATCCAGTGTTTTGTGAGTGTTTAATAATGGTCATTCTGGTTGGGGTAAGGTGGTATTTCACTGTGGTTTCAATTTTCATTTCCCTGATAATTAATGAAGTTGGGCATTTGATTAGTGATGTTGAGTCAATCACATTTATTGATTTGCATATGTTGGCTGTGGATTTGTCCTAGATGGCTCCCATTATTTTGAGATATGTTTCTTTTTTGCGTGTTTGTTGGCCATGTGTATATCTTCTTTGGAAAAATGTCCCTTCGTGTCATTTGCTCACATTTTCATGGGATTATTTGGTTTTTTTCTTCCTATTTTTTTAACTTCCTTGTAGATTCTGAATATTAGTTTTCCTCTTGTGGATGTATAGTTTGCAAATATTTTCTCCCTTCTATACGTTGCCTGTTTATTCTGTTTATTATTTCTTTTGCTGTGCAGAAGCTTTTTAGTTTAATTAAGTCCAATTTATTTACTTTTGTTTTACTTATATTTGCTTTTGAAATCTTAGTAATAAATTCCTTGCATAGGCCAATGTCCAGAAGAGCTTATCCCAGGTTTTCTTGTATAATTTTAATGGTTTAAGCCTTTAATCTAACTTTACTTAATCCTTGTGTGTGGTGAGATATAGGGATCCAGTTTCATTTTCCTGTATGTGGCCATCCAATTTTCTCCACCATTTATTGAACAAAGTGCCCTTTCTCCAGTGTACATTTTTTGTTTTTTTGTTTTTTGTTTTTGGCTTTGTCAAAGATTAGTTGTTGTAGCCATTGGGCTTTATTTAAAGGTTCTCTATTCTACTCCATTGGTCTTTGTATCTATTTTTATACAATTAGCATGCTTTTTTGGCTACTATAAATTTCAATTTTGTAATGTGATGCCTACAGATTTATTTTTGGATCAGGATTGCATTGGCTATTCAGGTGATTTATTGGTTCTATACAAATTTTAGGATTGTTTTTTGCTAAGTCTGTGAAAAAAAACAACATTGGTATTTTGAGAAGAATTTCATTGAATCTGTAGATTGCTTGGGCAGTATAGTCATTTTCACAATACAGATACTTTCAATCCGTGAGAATGTAATATGTTTCCATTTGTTCCTGTCATCTACGATGTATTTCTTTAGTGCTTTTTACTTCTTCTTACAGAGGTCTTTCACCCCCTTGGGTAAATGTATTCCTACATATTTTATTTTACTTGCAGCTATTGTAAATGGGATTGAGTTTTTTACTTGATTAACGGCTTGGTTGTTTCTGGTGTATAACAGTGCTCCTGTTTTACGTACCTTGATTTTGTAATCTGAGACTTTACTGAATTCATTTATCAAATCTAGTAATCTTCTGGAAGAGTCTTTAAGGTATAAGATCATATTATTGGAAAACAGAAATAGCTTGACTTCCTCTTTTTCAATTTGGATGGGCATTATTTTTTTCTCTTGCCTGATTTTTCCGGCTGGAACTTCCTGTATTGTTTTGAATAGAAATGGTGAATGAGGGCATTTTAGTTTTGTTCCAGTTCTTAGAATGAATGCTTTCAACTTTTCCCCATTTAGTGTGATGTTGGCTGTGGATTTGTATAAGATGTCTCTGATTATTTTGATGTATGTTCCTTCAGTGCCTAGTTTTTTGAGGGTTTTTATCAAAGAGTGTTGGATTTTATCTAATGCTTTTTCTGCATCTACTAAGATGATTGTATGATTTTTGTTTTTAATTCTGTTTTTGTGGTGACTCATATTTATTGACTTACATATGTTGAACCATGCTTGCATACCTGGAATAAACCCACTTGATTGTGGTAAATTATTTTTTGATGTGATGTTGGATTCAGTTTGCTGGTATTTTTTGAAGATTTTTGAATCTATGTTTATTAGGAATACTGGTCTGTAGTTTTCTTTTTTTCTTGTGTCTTTTTCTCACTTTGGTTTCAAGGTGATATTGGCTTTTGAGAAGGAGTTACAGAGAATTCCCTCCTTCTTGATCTTTTGAACTTTGGTTTCAATGTGACACTGGCTTCTGAGAAAGAGTTACAGAGAATTCTCTCCTTCTTGGTCCTTTGAAATGGTTTCAGTGTAACTGCTACCAGTTCTTTAAACATCTGGTAGAAATTGGCTGTGAATCTATCTGGTCCTGGATTTTTTTGTTGCTGTTGGGAGATATTTTATTACTGATTTAGTCTCACTGCTTATTTTTGGTCTGCTCAGGATTTCTGTGTATTCCTGATTCAAGCTTTGGGGGCTTATACATTTCCAGGAATTTATTCATTTTCTGTAATTTTTCTAGTTTGTGTACATAGAGGTGTTCATAGTCGTCTCAGATATTTTGTATTTTTGTGATATAAGACATTATTTTCATTTCTGATTGAGCTTATTTGAATCTTCTCTCTTTTTGTCTTGGTTAATCTAGCTGTTATCAATCTTGTTTATCTTTTCAAAGAGCCACCTTTTAATTTTATTAATAGTTTGTATTTGTCTTGTTTCAATCATTTAGATCTTCTTCAATCTTTGGTATTTATTTTCTTCAGTTAGCATCTTGTTTTGTTTTTCTTGCTTCTCTAGATCCTTGAGGTGTAATGTTAGATTGTCAACTAGTGATTTTTCTGTCTTTTTGATGTAGCTATTTAGCTCTAGAAACTTTTCTCTTAGCATGAATTTTGCTGTATCCCAGAGATTTTGATAACTTGTGCCAATTTTATGGTGTATTTCAGGGGTTTGGCATAGTGTCATGCCTGTAAACCCAGCACTCTAGGAGGTAAAAGTAGAAGGATTATTTGAGGTCGGGAGCTCAAGACTAGCCTGGGAAAATAGCAAGACCCTGTCCCTTCAAAAAATAAAAATAAGAAAATTAGCCAGACATGGTGGAACATGCTTGACGTACCAGCTACTCAGGAGGCTGAGACAAGAGGATTGCTTGATCCTAGGAGTTTGAGGCTGAAGTGACCTATGATTGTGCCACTGCACTCCAGCCAGGATGACAGAGAAATATCCCATCTCAAAGAAAAAAATGATTAAATTTTCATATTAATATTATTGCTGATAGAAAAATTCTTCAGGAGCCAATTATTTGATTTCCATGTATCTGTATAGTTTTGTGAGTTTCTTTTGGAAGTAATTTCTAGTTTTATTCCACTGTGGTCTGAGAGGATAATTAATATAATTTTGATTTAAAAAATTATTCAGATTCGTTTTGTTGCCTGTAATATGGTCAATCTTAGAAAATGTTCCATGTGCTGATAAGAATGTGTATTCTGCAGCTTTGAGGTATAATGTTTGTGACAAATATCTGTTAGTTTTGTTTGTTCTAGAGTCCAATTTAAGGCCAGTGTTTCATTGTTAAATTTCTACCTCTATAATCTGTCTACTGCTGTCAGTGGAGTGTTGAAGTCTCCCACTATTATTGTATTGCTGTCTTTCTATTTTCTTAGGTCTAGTAGTATTTCTTTTCTGAATCAGGGAGCTCCAGATTTAGTTACATATATAGTTAGAATCGTTACATTTTCTTATTGAATTGATCTTTTTATGTTTACATAATGACGTCTTTTGCCTTTTTATTTTTACTATTGCTGATATAAAGTCTGTTCTTAGAAGAGACTATTTTTGGTCACTTTTGTTTCTATTTGCATGGAATATTTTTTCACCTATTTACCTTGAGTCTATAAGAATCTAAAAGTTAGTCTGGTGGGTGCGGTGGCTCACACCTGTAATCCCAGCACTTTGAGAGTCTGAGGTGGATAGATCTCTTGAGTCCAGGAGTTTTTGAGACCAGCCTGAGAACATGGTGAAACATTGTCTCTACAAAAAAATACGAAAATTAGTCAGGTGTGGTGGTGCACATCTGTAGTCCCAGCTACTTGGGAGCTGATGTGGGAGGATTGCTTGAGCCTGTGAGGTCAAGGCTGCAGTGAGCAATGATCATGCCACTGCACTCCAGCCTGGGAAGCAGAGTGAGACTCCATCTCAGAAAAAAAAAAAAAAAAAAAAAGAGTCAAAATAATCTACAAGTTAGGTGGAACTCTTAAAGGCAGCAGATACTTGAATTGCATTTTTTTGTGTGTTTGTTTATTTATTTATTTATTTATTTATTGAGACAAGGTCTCAACTGTGTCACCCAGGCTGAGTGAAGTGGCACAATGATAGCTCACTGCAGCCTCAAACTCCAGCAGTCAAGGGATTTTCCCACCTCAGAATTCTGAGTGGCTCGTACTATAGGGGCACACCATTATGCCTAACCAACTTTTTAATGTTTTTTTAAAGACAGGGTCTTGCTATGCTGCCCAGGCTGGCCTCGAGCTTCTGGGCTCAAAATGTAGGCCCACTTTGGCCTCCCAAGTGATGGAATTTTAGTCATGAGCAACTGCAGCCAGCCACGTTTGTGTTATTTCATTGTCCATTTTTGCCAATGTGTATCTCTTAAGTGGGGCATTTGGATTATTTATATTGAACATTAATATTGATTTGTTATGCAGTGTTGCAGTTGTCATATTGATTGTTACCTGGTTGCTTTGTTTTCTTTAATGGGTTACAGTTTTATAAGCCCTGTGTGTTTTTTATTTTTAAGTATTTATTTATACTGATGCATATTATGCATATTGACCTTTCAGTTCAATATTTATAACTCCTTTGGGCATGTTGTATAAGGCTAGTTTAGTGGTGATAAATTCCCTCAGCCTTTGCTTGTCTGGGAAAGATTTTATTTCTCCTTTATTTATGAAACTTAGTTTTGCTGGATACAAAACACTTGGCTGACAGTTACTCTATTTAAGAAGACTAGATATAGGGACCCCAATCCCTTCTGGCTTTCAAGGTTTCTGCTGAGAAGTCTGCTGTTAGTCTGAAACATTTTTCTCTATACTTTATTACTTTCTCTCACTGTTCTTAAAATTATTTCCTTCATATTGACTTTATGTAGCCTGATGACCATGGCTTGGTGATATCCCTTTTGCAGTGAATCTTTCAGGAGTTCCATGACCTTCTTATATTTGGATGTATAAATCTCTAGTAAGACAAAGGAAATGTATTTCAATTATTTCCTAAAAAAAATTTTCCAAACTTTTAAATTTTATTCTCCCTCAGAAATGCCTATGATTCTTAGGCTTGGACATTTTACATAATCCCATATTCCTTGAATACTTTGTTCATTTTTTAATTTTTTTTTTGTTATTTTCATCTGATTGGGTTAGTTCAAAAGTCTTGCCTTCAAGCTCTGAAATTCTTTCTTCTACTGGGTCTCACATATTGTTAAAACAATCCACTGCATTTTGTGATTTTCTAAATGTGTCTTTAATTTCCAGAAGTTCTATTTTTTTCTAAATATATTTCTCTTTAGAATATTTTAAAATCATATTCTGAGAATTTTTTTAAGTTGCTTTGTGTTTGTTTTCAACATTCTCTTGGATCACATTAAGCAAATTAATAATCAACATTTTGAATTATCTAACTGATATTTAAAAGATTTTATTTTGGTTTGGATCCATTGCTGAATAGTTCATGTGATTTTTTTTTGAAGTGTTGCAAAACTGTTTTCTTATATTGCTAGAATTATTTTTCTGGTTCCTTCTCATTTGGGAAACTATTTCTTCTTACTAGTTTTAAATTTATTTTTTATCCAACTGAATATTTTTTCTTTTTTTCTCTTGAATATGTGACTTTAATGTGCATAGTCTATGGTCACCTAGCTTAGGCTCTGCATGTTTTCAGCAGCAAAGACTCTATATGAGTTTGTTTTATAAAGAATCTTTATGCAATAGCTTTCTCAGATGCTGGTGGAAGTAGTAATATACCAGATGTTTGAATAAGTTCACCATCTCCTGTGGAGCCAGAATGACAGAAGTCTGATAAATCTTAACTTGTTCACCAGTGATTGGCTCAGTATTTTGTTTTTCTGGGTAGAACAGTTCAGCCTTCAGTTCAGTAGGAGGTTCTCACAGGTAAAAATCAGCTGTGGCTACCAGGCCCCCCCTCCAACATTGGGGATTACCATTCAACATGAAATTTGGGTGGGGACACAAATCCAAACCATATCATTTTCCTTCTGGCCCCTCTCAAATCTCATGACCTTCTCACGTTGCAAAATACAATCATGGCTTCCCAACAATCTCCCAAAGTGTTAACTTATTTTAGCATTAACTTAAATGTCTGAAGTCTATAGTCTCATCTGAGACAAGGCAAGTCCCTTCTGCCTATGAGCCTGTAAAAAATAAAAACTAGTTACATCTCCAAGATATAATGAGAGTATAGGCATTGAGTAAATGCTCTCATTCCAAAAGAGAGAAGTCAGCCAAAAGAAAGGCGCTACATGCCCTACCCAATTCTGAAACCCAACAGGGCAGTCATTACATCTTAAAGCTCCAAAATAATCTCCTTTGACTACATGTCTCACATCCAGAGCATGTTGGTGCCAGGAGTGGGCTTCCAAAGCCTTGGACAGTCCACACCTGCTACTTCGCAGGGTTTAGCCCCCACAGTGGCTCTCATGGACTGGCATTAAGTGCCTACAGCTTTTTCAGGTGCAGGGTGCAAGCTGCCAGTGGATCTACCACTTTGGGGTCTGGAGGATGGTGACCCTCTTCTCAAAGCTCCACTAGGCAGTGCCCCAGTGAGGACTTTGTGTGGAGCCTCCAACCCCACATTTTCCCTCCACAGTACCCTAGTAGAGGTTCTTTCTGAGTGCTTTGCTCCTGCAGCAGGCTACTGCCTGGGCATACCAGCTTTTCCATACATCCTCTGAAATCTAGGCAGAAGTTCCCAAGCATCAACTCTTGCACTCTGTGCATCTTCAGGCTTAACACCACTTGGAAGCCACCAAGGCTTATGGCTTTCACCCTCTGGAACAGTGGTCCAAGCTCTGCCTGGAGTACTTTAAGACAAGACTGGAGCTGAAGCAGTAGGGATGGAAGGAGCAGTGTTCTGAGGCTGCATAGGGGAGCAGGTCCCTCGGCCTGGTCTACAAGATCATTCTACCCTCCTAGGCCTCTGGGCCTGTTATGAGAGGAGCTCCTGAGAAGGTCTCTGAAATGCCTTGAAGGCCTTTCCCCATTGTCTTGGGTATCAGTACTTGCCTTCCTTTTAGTTATAAAAATTTATGCAACCTGCTTGAATTTCTCCTCAGAAAATGGATATTTCTTTTCTATCAAATGATCAGGCTGAAAATTATCCAAACTTTTCCACTCTGCTTCCCTTTTAAACATAAGTTCAGGTCATTTATTTGTTCACTTATGAGCATAGGTAGATGGAAGCAGCCAGTCCATATCTTGAACACTGCTGCTTAAAAATTTCTTCTGCCAGATACCCTAAATAATGATTCTTGAGTTCAAAGTTCCACAGATTCCTAGCACAGGGGCACAATGCCTCCAAGTTTTATGCTAAAGTGTAACAAAAGTGACATTTGCTCCAGCTAAAAATATGTTTCTCTTTTATATCTGTGACTTCTTCAGCCTGAACTTCATTGTCCATATCACTATCAGCATTTTAAGATCACAACAATTCAAAAAACATCTAGCAAGTTCCAAACTTATCCTCATCTTTCTGTCTTCTTCTGAGCCCTCCAAACTGTTCCAATCTCTGCCCATTACTCAGTTCCAAAGCTTCTTTCACATTCTTAGGTATCCTTATGCAATGCCCTGTTCCTCAGTGCCAATTTTCTGTATTAGTCTTTTTTTTTTTTTTTTTGCACTACTATAGAGAAATACCTGCACCTGGATAATTTATAAGAAAAAAGTTTAATTGGCATACACTTCCACAGGCTGCACAGGAAGCATAATTCTGGCACTGGCTTACCTTCTGGGGAAGCTTAAGGAACTTACAGTTATGGTGGATGGCAAAGGGGGAGCCTACAGTTCAGAAGAAGGAAGTGGTGGGGGAGGTGCTTATACACTTTTAAATAACCAGATCTTGTGCAAACGCTATTACAAAAACAAGAATAGCACCAAAGGAGGAAATCCACCCCCATGATCCAATCACCTCCCACTAGGCCACACCTCCAACATTGTGGATTACCATTAGACATGAGATTTTGGTGGGAACACAAATCTAAATCCTTTCAAATGTGCTGATTTCTTTGCAGGGAGAAATGTTGGAGCCACCTCAGCTTTTCTATCAATTCAGCAGGAAAGTGATCCACATGTCTATTATGCTCCTCTAAGTGCTTTAGATATTCAGATCAGATAAGCACTTCTGTCCATCTGCAGAACTCTGCTGTTTCATGTAGAGAGGAACTGGGACTTAACACCTTCTGAAACCCTAAGACTGGAGTGCACTTCTCTCATGGAGATGAAGTCACACAAAGAGGTCCAGAAAGAACTTCAACAGATGTAGTTAGGTTGAGTTCCAATAATAGAAGCCCCAGATGTGTCTGAAGCAGTGGGTGAGGGGGAGAAAAACTCCCATTCTCCAAATTTCTTCATAAGCACCAGGGGTGCTTGACTAATGGGGTAGAACCACAGTCTTTCCCCACTCATCCCAGAACTGTGCCTCTGCCTCTGATGAAAGAAACTTTCCACAAGCAAAAAAGTTTTGGGCTTCAATGTCTGCATTTTTTTTTTTTTTGTCCCAAGGGGTGCTCCTTTAATGCGATGAACTTCCCCTTCCCCTAAGAGTGACAATCCCTGAGGGCCAGTCTACTGTGAATTCTGCTTCTCCTCTGAATTTAGCTACCCTGTGGACTGCCACAACCCAGAGTGGTGCTGGGGGATGTCTGCAAGGGATCCGGTGATGAAAAGACACAAGGGTTGAAGGTCTCTGAGCAGAACAATGTACCACAATGGGTGCACACACAGTATGGCACCTGCTACTATAGTTCATATCTAGAGGGAAAAGGAAGGGACCTTATGTGAGCAAAATAATGCCCTAGAGAAGTCCCCAAATTGCAGTCAACTCAAGTACTGGACTAGCAAGGGCAAATAAACTCTCCTTGATCTTGGACACCACCAACAAGGGTGGGAGAGGCTGAGAGCACTCCTACCTACATTTTCCTCAAAATACTAAGTATCTTAGGGTTTAACCTTGCTGGCTTCTTGTTACTTTGTTTTGTGTGTGTGTCATAGATTCTTCCAGTTAACTCTCTGATGAGCTCCAGCATTCTCCCCTTAACACTCCATTTGGGCTGTGATTATTCATCTATAATTTTGGTTCTTCATTCTGAGGAACATTGGTCATTGAGTTCTCTAGTCAGCTCTCTGGAGAAGCTCTCCAATGCCTCAGGATATTGACAGATCTGTGGGATGTGCAATAGCTGTGCTCAACTCAGCTTCCATAGTGGGCAATGTTGAATGGAGCTGACCCAAACTGATCTGTCCCCTAGTCTCCCAGTAACAGGTGTAAGCACCAGCTCTAATAAGAGTGGCAGGGGAGTGACATAGATCCTGTACGATTTCCTTCATTATGATTAGTCTTAGTGTAGTGGCTTTCTCAAATACCAGCTGCAGTAGTAATGTACTGGAAAAATGGACAGGTTTAAGACGATTTGATTAGATGGGGTTGCATGGACAATGGTATTAGCTGAAGTTACACAAGTTTTTTCCTTCTCAAGTGCTATTTTTGTATGTGTGTGTGATAGTCTCTCTCTGTTGCCCAGGCTGGAGTACAGTAGTGTGATCTTGGCTCACTGCAACCTCTGCCTCACAGGTTCGAGTGATTCTTGTACCTGAGTCCCCTGAGTAGCTGGTATTACAGACATGCACCATCACATCTGACTAATTTTTGTATTTTTAGTAGAGATGGGGTTTTGTCATGTTGCCAGGCTTGTCTCGAACACCTGACCTCAAGTGATCCGCCTGTCTCGACCTCCCTAAGTGCTGGGATTACAGATGTGAGCCTCCGTGCCTGGCCTCAAATGCTTTGTTATTGTGCCAACAGATGTTGTAATAGGTTGTGCCAGTTGGCCTTCAACCAGGTGTTGGCACTTGCAGAAGAGTGCCAGTTGTGGTGGTGGCTGTGAGATTTGTGCTTGGTTTATGTTACCCAGGAAAAGATCTCAGGTGTCACAGGCAATGAGTGGGGTCATGGAACTCCCAAAAATCTCTGTCCATTGTATTATGCTACTAAGGTGAGTGGAGGGACAAAGCCAGGTGGGGATTGAGTAAGGCAAATCCACACTCTGGCTCCCCACATGCTAGTGCAAGTGGCAGTCCCATTGAGAATCAGAGGGTAGTTCTCTGGCTGTTAGAGTAATATTTCATGAAGGATCACAATTGCCTTTGCTGCACAAAATAATCCACACAGGGAGAGAGGGGAAGCAGGTAGGAGTAAGACAACACCCAGCTCCCATACCCTAAGCAAGGCAGGCGTCACACCCACAGACTTCTGCTGGAAACAGCTAGCAGAGTCGCAGACAGTCTACACTCTGAACACAAAAGTATGCAAGGCCACAGGGTTTCTTTCTCCAGAGAGAAACAGGTTTTCAGTCCACTCTCCAGGTCTCCTCTGAAGGTGAACTTGGGGCACCTGGCTCCCACACTTTGACAAAAGCATGCTTTCTGCTCATCTCTTAGCTCTCGCCAAAGGAGTTCATCCCTACTCAAGATTAGATTGCAAATCTCAGCTGGGGGCTTTTAACAACCTGTGACCACTGCCTGAGTTAGTTGGGAGACTTCCACAGGTCTCCTATGAGTTAGGATCAAGAATGGCTTCCTTTTATCTTTGTTGGGGTCTGGCAGTGCACACAAGGAACTTACCAATGTCTAACCTCTTAGCCTTTTCATCACTCACCAAATCATCTCAAGTGCTGAGCAGGGTTAAGGCACTGCCCCATGGCTTGGAATGCTCAGCTTCCCAGTGGGCATGTGTATCATAGAAAGTCTCTTCCCATTTCACTCTGGAGATGCACAGTTTTCCACCTGACTCAAATTGAAGGTTGCTGCCCACTGCTTCTTTCAAAATGTGTTATGTTTCTTCCAGTTTTTCTGTTGAGTTCCTGTGTTCCTTTGATAAAAGTTTATAGCATGAGTCTCTACATACTAGTTTTCTCTTTTCAAGTGGGTGAGACACACTGACAAAGCTTCCCCATATAATTGCTTTTATCACCATCTCTTTCACCCTTTATCCTTCCCTTATAGTTAACTTTTTAATTAATATTTAGTTTAACCTAACTTTTTAAAACTATAAGCAAATATATACACACATTGTATGCATATGCATATATACACACATTGTATGCATATGCATATATACACACATTGTATGTATATGCATATATACACACATTGTATGTATATGCATATATACACACATTGTATGTATATGCATATATACACACATTGTATGTATATGCATATATACACACATTGTATGTATATGCAAATACACATACATGCATATATGTGTCTCCTCATTCTTTGGAAAATGACATTATCTGTAAAAACTAGAAGTGCTCTTTAATGGCTTCTTTCTTGATGAATTAAAAATATTAAAAACAGTTAATTAATTAATTTATTTCCAATAAAGATGGGTGTCTCACTATGTTGCTCAGGCTGGACTCAAACTCCAGGGCTTAATATATCTTGCCTCTTCAGCCATTCAAGTAACTGGGACTACCAGTGCACACCACTATGTCCTAATGAAAATGACATTTTATTTCCCATATTGAATCAATGAATATGTGAGCAAGTATTGTGATTTTGATACTTTGTATTGGAGTATAATAATGAACAAGAAAATTATAGCACTTGCCTTCCTGGAGAGATTACTCCAAAAGAAAGACAGGCTGATGTGGGAAAGTTTGGAACTTCCCAGATACTTGTTGAATGGCTTTGACCAAAATGCTGATAGTGATATGGACAGTGAAGTCCAGGCTGAGGTGGTCTCAGATGGAGATGAGAAACTTGTTGAGAACTGGTATAAACATGATTCTTGCTATGCTTTTGCAAAGAGACTGGGGGCATTTTGCCACTGCCTGAAATATTAGTGTAACTTTAAACTTGAGAGAGATTATTTAGGGTATGTGACAGAAGAAATTTATAAGCAACAAAGCATTCAGTGCTACTTAGGTTTTCTTAAAAGCATTCAGTTGGAATTTATGCTTAAAAGAGAAGCAGAGCATAAAACTTTGGAAAATTTTTAGCCTGATGATGCAATTAGAAAAGAAAATCCCATTTTCTGAAGAGAAATTTAAGCTGGCTGCAAAAATTTGCATTAAGTAATGAGAAGCCAAATGTTAATTGTCAAAACAATGGGGAAAATGTCTCCAGGGCATGTTAGAAGTCTTCTCGACAGCCCCTCACATCACAGTCTGGGAGGCCCAGAAAGAGAAAATTGTTTCATGGGCTGGGCCCAGGGACTTGTTGCTTTGTGCAGTCTCAAGACTTGGTGCCCTGCATTCCAGCCATGGCTAAAAGGGGCCAAGATAAAGCTGAGGCCATTTATTCAGAAGGTGCAGGCCCCAAGGCTTGGCAGCTTACATGTGGTGTTTAGCCTGCAGATGCACAGAAGTCAAGAATTGAGTTTGGGAACCTCTGCCTTTCAGAGGATGTATGGAAATGTCTAGATGTCCAGGCAGAAGTTTGCTCCAGGGGTGATTCCTCATGGAGAACCACTGCTAGTGCAGTGTAGAAGGGAAACGTGGCATCAGAGACCAGGTCCCCAGTGGGGCACTGCCTAGTGGAGCTGTGAGAATAGGGCCAGCATCCTTCAGACCCCAGCATGGTAGATCCACCAACAGCTTGCGTTGTGCCAGTGGAAACGCCACAGACATTCAATGTCAGCCTGTGAAAGCAGTTGAAATGGGGGCTATACCTTGCAAACATATAATCCCCACATGTCAAGGGAGAGACCAAATAGAGGTAATTGGATCATAGGGGTGGTTTACTCCATGCTGTGTTTATGCTAGTGAGTGTGTTATTGCAAGATCTGATCATTTTATAAGTGTTTGGTAGTCACTTCTGCATTCATTCTTCTTTCTGCTGTCCTATGAAGAAGGTGCAATGATTCCTCTTCACCTTCCACCATGATTGTAAGTTTTTTGAGGCCTCCCCAGCCATGCTGAACTGTGAGTCAATGAAGTGTTTTCCTTTATAAATTACCCAGTCTCATGCAGTTCTTTATAGAAGTATGATACCAGACTAATCTATCTATCTATTTTATTAATTTTTTCAAATACCAATTCTTGGATTCATTGATCTTTTGAAAGGCTTTTGTGTCTCACTGTCCTTCAGTTGAGCTCTGATTTTATTTTTTCTTGTCTTCTGCCAGCTTTGAAGTTGAATTGTTCTTGGTTCTGTAGTTCTTTCAGTTATGATTTTAGGTTTTAAAATTGAGATCTTTCTAACTTTGCAATATGGGAATTTAGTGCTACAAATTTTCTTAAAACCATCTTAGCTGTGTCCCAAAGATTCTAGTGTGTTTTATCTTTGTTCTCACTAGTTTCAAAGCAATTCTTGATTTCTCCTTTAAATTTATTATTTACCCAAAAGTCATTCAGGAGCAAGTTATTCAGTTTCCATGTAATTATATGGTTTTGAGTGATTTTCTTAGTCTTGATCTCTAAATTTATTGCACTGTGGTCCAAGAGAGTGGTTGCTATAATTTCATATGTCTTGCATTTTCTGAGGAGTGTTTTGTATCCAATTATGTGGTCAATTTTACGGCACATGCTATGTGGTGATTAGAAGAATGTAGACTCTGTTGTTCTGAGTGGAGAGTTGTGTAGATGTCTATCAGATCCATTTGATTCAGCGCTAAGTTCAGGTCCTAAATATCTTTGTGAATTTTCTGCCTCAATAATCTAATAGTGCCAGTGGGGTGTTGAAGTCTCTCCCTATTATTGTGTGGAGGCTTAGTCTCTTTAAAATGTCCATCAGAACTTGCTTTATGAATCTGGGTCCTCCTGTGTTGGATGCATACATATTTAGAATAGTTAGGTCTTCTTGTTGAATTGAACATGTTACCATTATATAATGCTCCTCATTGTCTTTTTTGACTTTTGTTAAAGTCTGTTTGTTTTTCTGAAACTAAGATTAAAACCCCTGATTTTCTTCTGTTTTCCATTTGCTTTATAGATTTTTCTCCATGCCTCTATTTTAAGCCTATGGGAATCATTGCATATGATATGTGTCTCTTGAAGACAGTATAAAAATGGATCTTGGTTCCTCATCCAGCTTGCCACTCTATGTCTTTTAATTGTGGCATTTCACTAATTTACATTTAAAGTTAGTATTGATACATGTGGATTTGATCCTGTCATATTGAAGTTAGCTAGTTTTTATTGCCTGTCTTTTGGGTAAAAGCCATTCTAATTAAGGTGAGATAATACCTTACTGTAGTTTGGATTTGCATTTCTCTGATGATCAGTAATGTTGAGAAACTTTTTATATGTCTGTTTACCAATTAATTATCTTATTTTGAGAAATATCTATTGAAATATTTGCCTATTTTTTAATTAGGTAACTAGATATTTTTCTATAGAGTTGTTTGAATTCTTTATATATTCCAGTTATAAATCTCTTGTCACATTGGTAGTTTGCAAATATTTTCTCCCATTTTTTGTGTTGTCTCTTCACTTTGTTGATTGTTTCCTTTGCCGCGCAGAAGCTTTTTAACTAGATATAATCTTATTCATTTATTTTTGCTTTGGTTGTCTTTGCTTATGGGGTGTTACTCAAAATATCGTTGCCTAGACCAATGACTTGGAAAGTTTCCTTGAGGTTTGCTTGTAGTGGGTTTATTAGTTCGGGTCATAGATTTAAATATTTAATCCACTTTGAGGTAATTATTGTGTGTGGTTAGAGATAAGTGCCAGTTTTCATTCTTCTGCATATGAAAATCCAGTTTTCACAGTACAATTTATTGAAGAGATTGTCTTTTCCTCAGTGCACATTCTTGGAAAAATGAGTTCACTGTGAGTGTGTGGGTTTGTTTTGGGGTTCTCTATTCTGTTCCATTGGTCTATGTGTCTAAGCCAGTACCTTGGTGTTTTGGTTACTATAGCTCAGTAGTACAATTTGAAGTCAGGTAATGTTATTCCTTCAGCTTTGTTTCTTTTTCTTAGAATAGCTTTGGCTAGACCAGGTGCAGTGGCTCACTCCTGTAATCCCAGCACTTTGGGAGGCCAAGGCAGGTGGATCACTTGAGGTCAGGAGTTCGAGACCTGCCTGGTCAATACAGCAAAACCCTGTCTCTACTAAACATACAAAAAATTAGCTGGGCATGGTGGCTCGTGTCTGTAATCCCAGCTACTCCGGAGGCTGTGGGAGGAGAATCACTTGAACCCCAGAGGCAGAGGTTGCAGTGAGCCAAGATCGCGCCAATGCATTTCAGCAAGGGCAATGAGAGTGAAACTCTGTCTCAAAATAAATAAATAAATAAATAAATAAATAAATAAATAAATAAGAATAGCATTGGCTATTCTAGGTCTTTTGTGGTTCCATATAAATTTATAGTTAAAAAATTCTCTGAAGAATGTCATTGGTATTCTGATAGCGATTGCAGTAAATTCATAGATTGCTTTGAGTAGTATGGACACTTTAACTATATTAATTCCTTCCATCCATGAACATAAACTATCTTTTTATTTTTTTGGTATCTTCATTAATTTCTTTCATTAGTGTTTTACAGTTTTCATTACGGAGATCTTTCACTTCATTAAGTTAATTCCTATGTATTTAATATTATTTGTGGCTATTTTAAGTGGAAGCAATTCTTTAATGCTTTTTCAGTTTGTTCACTGCTGGTATATAAAAATGTTACTGATTTTTTTGTGTTGATTTTGTATCCTACAACTTTAAGAAATTTGTATATCAGTTCTGAAAAATTTTTTTGATGGAATCTTTAGTTTTTTTTCAAATACAAGATCATATCATTTGCAAATAAGTGTAATTTGACTTCTTCCTTTCCTTTCTCTTGTCTGATAGCTCTAGCTTAGACTTCCAGTACTATATTGAAACACAGTGATGAAAGTTAACATCCTTGTCTTGTTCTAGATCTTAGATGAAAGGCTTTCAGTTTTCCCCATTCAATATGATACTAGCTGTGAGTTTGACATATATGGCTTTTATTACATTAATGTGTCTTCCTTCCACCCCCAGTCTTTTGAGGGTTTTTATATGAAAGGATATTGAATTTTATCTAGTGCTTTTTCAGTATCAACTGAAATGGTCATATGTTTTTTGTCCTTTCTGCTTATATAATGTATCACATTGATTGATTTGCATATGTTGAAGCATCCTTGCATCCCAGAGATAAATCTGACTTGGTCATGATTAATAATATTTTTAGCATATTGTTGATTTTAGTTTGCAAATATTTTATACTTTTGAGAATTTATGCATGTACATTCATTATGAATATTGCCCTGTAAGTATAATTTTTTTTTTGGATGTGTCTTCGGTTTTGGTATCAGGGTAGTACTGCACTTGTAGAATGAGCTTGGAAGTATTTTCTTCTCTAATTTTCAAAATGTTTTAAGTAGGATTGGTATTAGTTCTTCTTCAAATGTTTTGTAGAATTCAGCATATAGCCATTGGGTCCTAGAGTTTTCTTCAATGGGAGACTGTTTTAGAACAAACAACTTCCATCTCATTACTTGCTACTGGTCTGTTGGTAATTTGGATTTATTCATGTTTCAATCATCATTGGTAGTATGTGCCTAGGAATTTGTCCATTTCTTCTAGATTTTTCAATTTATTTGCACATATTTGCTAATGACAGCCACTAATAATCTTTTTAATTTATGTACCATCAGTTGCAATGTCTTCTTTCATCTCTAATTTTATTTACTTGAATCTTGTCTCTCTCTCTCTCTCTTTTTTTTTTGTTTTGGTCTGGCTAAAGGTTTGTCAATTTTGCTTAACTTTTCAAAAAACCAACTTCTTATTTCATAGATTTTTTTGTATTGTTTTCTTCACTTCAAATTCAATTATCACTGCTCTTATCTTTATTTTTCTTCTACTAATTTTGGGTTTGACTTGCTCTTGCATTTTTAGTCTTTAAGGTACATCGTTAGGTTATTTATTTAATTTTTTATATAGGCATTTATAGCTATAAAATTCCTTCTTAGTACCAGTTTGCTGTATCTCATAGGCTTTGGTATGTTGTGTTTTCATTATCATGTGTTCAAAAAACAATTTTTAGTTTCCTTCTAATTTCCTCATTGACTCACTGATTATTCAGTAGCATATTGTTTAATTTTAATGTATTTCTATAATTTCCAAAATTCCTCTTATTATTGATTTATAGTTGTATTCTACTGCGGTCTTATAAAATGTTTGACACTATTATTATAATAATTATTATTATTACTGTTTTAAGACGTGTTTGGCTAGACACAGTGGCTCACACTTGTAATCCTAACACATTGGGAAACCAAGCAGGTGCATCTCTTGAGCTCAGGAGTTCGAGAACAGCCTAGGTAACATAGCGAAACTCCATCTCTACAAAAGGAAAAGAAAAATACAAAAATTAGCCAGGCATGGTGGCACATGCCTTTAGTCCCAGCTACTTGGTGGTGCTGAGGCAGGAGGATCGTTTGAACCTGGGAGTTTGAGGCTGCAGTAAGGTGAGATCATGCCACTGCACTCTGTCCTGGGTGACAAAGTGAGATCCTGTTTCAAAAAAAAACAAAAACAAAAAACTTGTTTTTTAACCTAACATATGCTGGGATTACAGGCGTGAGCCACTGAGCCTGATCAGATATGTCTCTTTTATTTCTAGTTTATTGTAGTTTTTATCAGGAAAGGGTGTTGGATTTAATCAAATTTTTTCTACATCTATTGAGATAATAATTTGTTTATATAATTTTATTAATAGGATGTATTGCATTGATTCAGTTTTTATATTTTGAACCGGGTTTGCATTCCTGAAATAAATCCCAGTTGGTCATGATGTATGATCCTTTTCATAAACTGCTGTATATTGATAGCCATATTTTCTTGAAGATTTTTGCATCTACATTGATAAGTTAAATTGATTTGTAGTTTTATTTTGATGTCTTTGTCTAGCACTGTTATCAGGGTAATACTGACTTCATAGAATTAGTTTCTATGTTTTACCTTCTCTACTAGTATTTGGAACAGTTTGAGAAGCAATAATAATTCTTTGCTTTGGTAGAATTCACCTGTGAAACTATCTGGCCTTGGAGTTTTCTCTGTAGGAAGTTTTTAAATTACTAGTGCAATCTCTTCACTTGTTATAGGTCAATTCATGTTTTCTTCTTCTCATTGAGTTAATTTTGATTGTGTGTTTTTAAGAATTTGTTCATTTCATCTAAGTTATCTAATTTGTTAGTATGCAGCTATTTACAGTATGCCCTAATAATCCTTTTTATTTTTGTAAGGTCAGTACCAATATCCCCTGTTTCATTACTGATGTATTTTAATTCTTGTTCTTCTTCTAGCCCTTCTTCTTCCTCCTTCTCCTTCTCCTTCTCCTCCTCCTCCTCCTCCTCCTTTTTCTTCTGTCTTCTTCTTCATAGAACCAACCAAACTTTTGGTTTTGTTAATCTTCTGTTTTTCTCTTCTCTATTACATTTATTTTAGCTCTCATTTTTATTATTCCATTTTTGTGCTTGCTTTGGATTTAGTGGTTCTTCTGGCTTCTTAAGGTGAAAGCTTAGGTTATTGATTTGAGAAGATCTTCCTTCTTTTTAATATATATGTTTACAACTATAACTGTTATTATCTTTTTTTTTTTTTTTTTTGGAGACAAGGTCTCACTCTGTCACCTAGGCTGGAGTGCAGTGATGTGATCATAGCTTATGGTAGCCTCAACCCTCTGGGATCCAGTGATCCTCCCACCATTCCTCCTCAGCCTACTGAGTAGCTGGGACTACAGGTGCATGTCGTTATGCCTGGCTAATTTTTTAATTTTTTAAAATTAGATCACACTATATTTCCCACACTAGTCTCAAACTCCCGGCCTCAAGTGATCCTCCTGCTTTAGCCTCCCATGTAGCTGGGGTTACGGGCCTTAGCCACTACACTCATGACTATAACTTTTAATTAAGCACTTCTTTTGCTGGATTGCATATGTTTTGGTATGTTGTGTTTTCACTTTCATGCTCCTCAAGGGAGTTTCATGATTTCACTTTTACCCATTGGTAAAATCAACCTGAAAGACACATGCATAATTTCTCTTCACAAATCATTGACAAGAATTATTCACATGGTCCTGCAAGGAGGTGTAACTACAAGGAGGCTGAGAAATGTAGGAGAGCACGTGTCATATTTGACTTTGCTACAGGCACACAATCATTTTTCCAAATCCAAATCTACTCAAGGAAAACTGTGTAAGTGCAATTTTTAATATCTAAAGATTCACAAACCCAGAATGATCTACTTTCTTGCTCATCTAATTTAATGTTAGAAATATTCCACTGTATACTCTCTTTCTACTTGCTTGCATTTTAGACTTATCATCTATACAATTACCTTCTATATATGTGCATGTATGTATGAACATGTGTGTATACATCTATCATACATATGCATACTGCTTTTCAAATAAGAACAAAATAAATATCAATCAAAAAAAGAAAAGCTTCAAGAAGTAGCTAAAACAAGAAAAGTAAAGAAATGCAAGTGGCCCAAAGTAAATAAAAAATGTTCAAATTCAATAGTAAGAAACAAAATGTAAAATTAAATTATATGCTATGTTTCCTTCATAAAATTGCCTTTAACTTGGCCTTGATCTGATCATTCTTGGCCCTTGCCAGCAGATCTCCATTCTAAATATTGAGGAGAAGAATTCGGAATATTAGCCCTAGAGTGCTTGGACCTTCCTATGCAAAATGGTATAATTCTTCGTTCAGATCACTGAATGACAAGAATTGAAGCCATCTTTGTGAAGTCAAACAAAACACATGATTATATATTTTCCCAGGGATGAAATTATTTTTAAATTATCTTACATAACTATAGGTATATGATGAGCACAAAGCAAGTTTGCTCCATCATTGACTTTTGTCCCAACTTTTCCTTAAATTTCAGGGAAAAACTGTTCTGAAAGTCTGAGCATGGTGACACATGTCTGTAATCCCAGCACTTGGCAAGGCTGAGTCAAGGGAATTGCTTGAAGCCAAGAGTTCAAGACCAGCCTGGGCAACATAGCAAGACCTCATCTCTACAAAAAGGTAAAAATGAAAAATTATCTGGGCCTGGTGGCATGCACCTGTAATCTTAGCTATTTGGGAGGTTGAGACAGGATGATCATTTGAGCCCAGGAGTTTGAGGCTGCAGTGAACCATGACTGCACCACTGCACTCCAGCCTGAGTGACCCAGTGAGACCCTTTTCTCCCCAAAACATATTCTGATAAATAAAATATATCTAGTTGTTTTTCTTCCTTCTCTTCATCTCTGTTTTCATTGTTGGTGACTTTTTCAAACTTTGTTAATCAGAAGCATCCATATAAATTAAGATTGAAGTCAGATTTTTATTGAAATAAAATTTATTTATTTATTTATTTTTTATTTTGTTTTACAAAATAGGGCTTTGAAATTCAAAAGAAAAGACCTGAAAACCAGGGCACTGTGTCTATAATACAGCAATAAACTTTTAAGGAAAAATACAGAAATTGGATACCATTCAAGATCGCTGAGAGATTAGCAGGGAGTCAAATGGATTGGAAGATGGGAAGGAGCAAAGACGATTTGATTTGAGAGAATTTATAGGATTGCGTGAATATAAACTAGAACTGAAAACTGAGAGCAAACACACAGGGATTACTTTTGGGAGAAATTTCTAGTAAGTTTAGTTCCTGTACTTTAGAGTTGTGAAAAAGCCTAATCAATGCCTGGATGCCATGCTAGTGCCTGGAGAAAATAGAAGGGAACCTGGCAAACAAAATCCTTAACCCACTTCTGAAAATACAGACATACTGTGTGAGGAAACATTCTGTTAGTTCCTGGTTTTCTGTTACATATTTCTATAATTTAGGTATTATTTTATTAACAGTGACTTTAAGATCCAGTGTGGCTGCCACCTATGGTCTTAGTGAGGTCCGTTTACAAGTTTCACAGTTTATTTTATTCATGTTGATTACAATGTGAAATACAGTACCCTAAAGCTGTGTAGTACACAATCTATACAACCAAATGTGAGGGCCCTGGAAACTCTCCAGACCTGGGGTCCTCTCCGAATTTCATCCAAATTAACTCATATTTAAATTCCCTTATAAATGGCCCAAAGTAATAGTAAACTCCTCAAAACAGAGTAAAATAGAGGGACAGTTGATACCAAGATAACCATTAAAAAAGTCCCAGCACTGGTATTTTATTGGCCATTTAAAGTGCTTATATATGTAGATCTGTATCCGCATCTACATCTAGGAATTTATCTCTAATTAGTATATCATCAATATCAATATACTATTCACAATTGATCACATCTGGTTATTCAAAATCAATTTGAAATGCATTTGTACTAATCTGTTGATGATATGCATAGAAAGTAATGCTGTAAAAGTCCCCTCATATGTAATTGGTATCTCCTTTCTCTTCTTCAGAATGTCTGAAAGCTATTAAATGCAAAGTTTCTAATTAATAAATAGTTTCTGGAATGTTAGTATGAGGCAGGTTTATTTGTTTTAAAAGTGATCATAAATTAGAATAATTAAGAGCTGTAATGCATTTTGAGATATCTATGTGTTTGTTTTAAGTTTATATGTGGGTCTACTTGGAAACTAAGTGGCTATTTGTAGGATAATGTACCATCAGTAAGATGATATTTATTTAAACATAAAATAGCAAATAAGGCAAAACTCTTTTTGTGCCAGTAGATGTTGACGTTTAAGTGAAATTGCTTTCAAAAGTCAGAATTTATTTTGATGAGAATGATTACGACGCTAGTGTTTTCAAAGATTTAAAAAAGGAGAATAGTGAACAGAACTGAAAGCAGAGGGTATCATAACATTCAATACGTAAAGCTCTATAACTGATAACTGAAGTACACAAGGAGTTTACTACTTAGGGTAAATATATATATATATATATATATATATATGTGTATGTATTTTTTTTTTTGAGCCAGGTTCTCACTCTGTCACCTAGGCTGGAGTGCCATGGCACAATCACAGGCCACTGCAGCCTTGGCCTCCCAGGCTCAAACAGTCCTCTCACCTCAGTCTCCAAAGTAACTGGGGACTACAGGCACACACCACATGCCCAACTAATTTTTATTTTTATTTTCTGTAGAGATGGTCACAATATGTTGCCCAGGCTAATCTTGAACTCCAGGGCTCAAGCAATGCTTCCACTTTGGCCTCCTAAAATGTTGGGATTATAGGCATGAGCCACTGAGCCTAGTCATTTTTTGTTTATATATAAAAATCAAGCACTGGCCCTCTACTATGTTTTGTCAAATGATTACCTGATCTCTTAATCAGCTTTGAATATTTCATCATTCTGGAATTTGACTGAGATTAAGGAAATACTTCAAATTGTCCCTAATTTTTGGTTTCTAAAAAGAAAAGTGTTCGTAGAGAACATTTCATTGCAACAAAAAGGAATGAATTCACGGCATAGTTATTGTCCCATGTATTCGTAGAAGCTGTTTAAAAGAAAAAACAATGTACATTTTCATTTTATTTACCTTTAGAAACAGATGATATAAAAATAGTAAATAAATATCTATAAGCCTAAAGGTCCATTTGATTTGCTAATAGTAATGACGACTTTCTCCTTTGTCTGCTTGTTCTTACAGAAAGGTTAAAAAAAGTATTGTAAATTTACAAGTAGATATTGTTTTACTAAATAGATAGAGATTTGTTACATCATAATTCAGTTCTCAGTAATATTTAGTTAAACTAGCAATGATCCATTTTAGATTTAGAGAAAATAAAAAATAACACAAGGTGGCACGCTTTTATTGCCACAGTGTCTTGTTGGAAATCTTGCTTGCCAGAGGGTCATGTTGAGAAAAATGTTGAATGGAATTAAATAAACTTTTAGCTAACCAAATGGAATACATACAGAAATGTTTAGCATTCCATGAGTTGGTCTGTAACAGATGCTTTACAAAATTAAGTGTTTGGACACATTTTGAAATTCATGAAACACTGTAAACTTTTCACTAAATCTGAAGTTTTGACATTTGATGATGCCAAGGCTTTGTCAATAAAATTAGTTTGGCACAAACATTAAAACTGTTTTTGTTTACCATAGAACAGTAAAGATTAACAGATTTTTAATTAGCATTCAAAATTTACGTTCAACATTAATTATTCCTTTTGGGAACAACTGTCTTTAGGCCTTTTAGAGAGCACAAGGAAGACAGTGCATATTACCCCTTAAATCTGAATTTAAAAAATATCGTTGCATTTAATATGAGAATCTATCCCGCAGCAAATTTTTTAAAGTAAATAAGATAACAAGCCTTAGAATAATGATTCTAAAGAGTCTGTTTGCTTATACCAATGCTCTCCAATATATCTATCTAATCGCAGCTGTATTTTACACCATAGCCTGCAGTAATCATGCTCTCAGATAAGAACATTTCAACGACAAATGTGCAATAGGTATTTGGAAATAATTAAGGATCCATCATATGGCAAGCATTTATATCAAGAAAAAATCTGAAGTAGTTTAGAATTATTTGAGTTATATTTTGTTGCCTTTGGGAGCTGTCACTTTACACATTTTGGCAGATGATCTTGTCGTCATGATAATTTTTTTCCCCAAAAAATCTTGGTTCTTTAAGTAAAGCAAGAAACATAATCTCCATATCTACCACATTGTCAAGAAAGATGCCAACCCATAGATTACTTAATTAGGTTTTACTTCCATGCGATCACCCTTTGCAACTTGCTTACTCTGTTGAAAAGATAATAATGAAGACTGAGCAGGGAAACTGTACAGGAAAACTAGAAGAAGAATGAGACCAGGGGACCGAAGAGTCTGAGAGTTGCCTAATCAGTTCCTAAATAAACAAGCATTAATCACAGTATTTCAAATAGTTGAAGCTCCATCAAATGTTCAGTTGAAATGAGGTAAAAATAGACATGCAGTTAGGCTACTGAAAATAAAAATGTGTTTAAAGTCAAGAGTGAAGAAAAGGTAAAATTGGAAAAAAGTTGTGCACTTAGTTCAGGTTAGATAAACTTTATATCTACATGGGATATGGAAAAATAGTCATTTTTATTTACTTATTGTAACCAATAATTTGACCCATGTTTATTAATAATTAATATAAGTGGATTAGAATTGATGAAAACCATATGAAGTGAGAGCCAGATAGGTCAATCCTAATTAACCTGGCAGCTATTTAGTATGAACTATAGAAGTATTCTCAAACTTTAGTATGTTGATTACTTTTGCAATAAAATGACCACATAAAGCTTATTCTGAGTTATCGGGAAAAGCCATAAAAGATGTTAACTGTTTTGTTAGGGTAGCTATCATGCAGAAACAATTGTAAGATGCTTGGCTTCTGTGAACCCATTATGCTGAAGTGCCCATGAAGAAAGACCACAGAGATTAAAAAAAATAAAAAGGTGCTGGAGGAGCATCAGCTGTTTCATCCTCCAGCTATTGTCAGCCCTTAGGTGTGACATGTAAGTGAATTAACATTTGAGATGACCCCAGTCCCAGCTACCACTTTACTGCAAACTTAAGAGAGAATGTCCAACCAAGCTGCTTCTGAATATCTGATTCACAGAAACTCAGGAATAGTGAATATTGTTTTAAACCACTAAGCTTTAGCATGGTTTTTATGCAGTCATAGCAACTGACATCTTCTCTGACAACTCTATTGGATGATGTAGAAACTAGACTTTAGTTATAATGATGAAGAAACTGAGGCCTAAAAAAGATAAATCATTTGATCAAAGCCATATAGTCTCCAGCAGAGATGAAAATGGAATCCAGGTTTCCTTCACTCTAAAGCAAATTTTCTTTCTAGTACAACACAATGTCTTCTTTCTAGTAGAACATGCTGCTCTTCATATTTCCTTAACTTCTCACTCATACTCCATGCTCACTAGCTATAAATAAATATACAGAAGAAATAATATTTCCTTAAAAACTGCACTGCATGGTGCATTATTTATCTATTGCTGCACAATAAACTATTATAAAACATTAATTAAAAAGAGCAAAAAGTTATCTATATCTCCTATCATTTCTGTGGATCAAGAATTCTGGAGTGGCTTGGCAGGGGGATTCTAGCATGAGGTCTCTCATAAATTTGCAAGGTCCTGTTGGCCACAGCTGCTGTCATCTAAATGCATGGCTGAAGCAAAAGTGTATTAGTCCATTCTCACTCTGCTAATAAAGACATACCTGAGACTGTGTAATTTATAAAGGAAAGAGGCTTAATTGACTCACAGTTCCACAAGGCTGGGGAGGCCTCAGGAAACTTACAATTATGGCAAAAGGGCAATCAAACACTTCCTTATTCACATGGCAGCAGGGAGGAGAAGTGCTGAGCAAAGGGGGAAAAGCCCCTTGTAAAACACTCAGATCTTGTGATAACTCACTATTGTGAGAACAGCATGGGCAAAACTGCCCCCATGATTCAGTTACTTCCCACTGGGTCCTCCCACAACACATGGGGATTATGAGATTACAATTCAAGGTGAGACTTGGGTGGAGAGACAAAACCAAACCATATCATTCTGCCCTGGCCCTTCCCAAATATTGTCTTTCTCACATTTCAAGACACAATTATGCCTACCCAACAGTTCCCCAAATTCTTAACTGATTTTAGTGTTAACCTCAAAGTCCAAGTCCTAAGTCTCATCTGAGACAAGGCAAGTCCCTTTCACTTATGAGCCTGTAAAACTAAAAGCAAGTTAGTTACTTCCTAGATACAATGAAGGTACAGACATCATGTAAATACACTTGTTCCAAATGAGAGACATTGGCCAAAACAAAGGGGCAACAGGATTCATGCAAATCTGAAATCCAACAGGGCAGTTATTAAACCTTAAAGTTCCAAAAAGATCTCCTTTGACTCTGTGCCTCACATCCAGGTCCTTTTGATGCAAGAAGTGGGTTCCCACAGCCTTGGGCATCTCCTCCCCTTTGGCTTTGCAAGGTACAGCCCCCATCTCAGCTGCTTTCATGGGCTTGCATTGAGTGCGTGTGTCTTTTCCAGGTAACAGTGCAAGCTGTTGGTGTATCTACAATTCTGGGGCCTGGAGGACAGTGGTCTTCTTCTCACAGCTCCACTAGAGAGTGCCCCAGTGGGGACTCTGTGTGGGGGCTCCAAACTTACATTTGCCTTTTGCACTTCCCTAGCAGAGGTTCTCCATGAAGGCTCTGCCCCTGCAGCTGGCTTCTCCCTGGACATCCAGGCATTTCCATACATCCTCTGAAATCTTGTTGGAGGTTCCCCAGCCTCAATATGTGTCTTCTGTGCACACTCAGACTCAACACCACATAGAAGCCACCAATGCTTGGGGCTTGCACCCTCTGAAGCAATGGCCTGAGCTGTAGCTTGGCTCCTTTTAGCCACTGCTGGAGCAGCTGGGACACAGTGCACCAAGTCCTGAGGCTACACACAGCAGGGGAACCCTGGACCTGGCCCAGGAAACCATTTTTCCCTCCTAGGCCTCTGGGCCTTTTATGAGAGGGGCTGCCATGAAGTCTCTTACATGCCCTGGAAAAGTTTTTCACATTGTCTTGGTTATTAGCATTTGGCTCCTTGTTACTTATGCAAATTTTTGCATCAGGCTTGCATTTCTCCCCAGAAAATGGATTTTTCTTTGTTACTGCATCATCAGGCTGCAAATTTTCCAAACTTTTATTCTCTGTTACCTCTTGAAAGCTTTTCTGCTTAGAAATTTCTTCTGCCAGATACTCTAAATCCTCTTTCAAGTTCAAAGCTTCACAGATTTCTAGGGCAGGGGCAAAATGTCATCAGTCTCTTTGCTAAAGCATCTCAAGAGTGACATTTACTCCAGTTCCGATAAGTTCCTAATCTCCATCTGAGACCACCTCAGCCAGGACTTCGTTGTCCATATCACTATCTGCATTTTGGTCAAAGCCATTCAAGAAGTCTATAGGAAGTTCCAAACCATCCCACTTCTTCCTGTCTTCTGAGCCTTCCAAGTCTCTAGGAAGTTGCAAACTTTCCCACATTTTCCTGTCTTCTTCTGTGCCCTCCAAACTGTTCCAAACTCTGCCTGTTAACCAGTTCCAAAGTTGCTTCCTCATTTTTGGGTGTCTTAATAGCAGTAGCCCACTCTCTGAGGTACCAATTTACTTTATCAGCCTGTCTCATGCTACTATAAAGAACTGTCTGAAACTGGGTAATTTATAAAGGAAAGAGGTTTAATTGACTTATAGTTCTGCAGGATTGGGGAGGCCTTAGGAAACTTACAATCATGGTGGAAGGGGAAGCAAACGCATTCTTGTTCACATGGCGGTAGGAAGGAGAGTTGCCACGAAAGGGTGGAAAAGCCCCTAATAAAACCATAGATCTCATGAAAACTCACTAACTATCATGAGAACATCATTGAGGAAATCACCTTCATGATTTGATTACCTCCAACCAGGTTCCTCCTATGACACATGGGGATTATGGGATTACAATTCAAGATGAGATTTGGGTGGGGACAGAGATCCAAACTATATCTTAAAGGACATGCTTCCAAGGTTACTCAATTGCCTGGCTGGCAGGTTGGTGCTGACTTTGGTAGAAGGCCTCAGTCTCTCCATGTAGGCATCACAACAATATTGTTTGAATGTTCTTAGGCATGTAGGCTGGATTCCATCAGAGTGAGCTATCTAAGAGAGTGAAGCAGAATTGTCAATGTTCTTTATGACCTAGTCATGAACATCATACATCATCATATTTAAGCCCTTGAAGAGGCTGAGACCAGCATTCAAAAGGATTTGGGGATCATAGGGGAGCAGATAATGTACTCTGAGACAACAAGTCATATACCCTTATCTGCAGTTTTAGCTGTAATGCACACAGTAGCTTAGCTTTGATGCTTAGATGACCAGATTCTGCAGTTGATTTGATTCTACAATGGGTTGAGGCTTGTCTATTTATGCTGAGGAAAAGTGAGGGAGGTAATGGATTTGAATATGGATAGCTCTGTTTCACTTTGGATCACACATGTTCATGTGGGGATGGGATGTAGGAGGTGGGGGTGGATGAGATGCTGAGGAATGTAGAATGAAAGCAAAAGAACATGTGAAAGGGCAAAAGAAAAGACCCTGAATCCTTCTAGTACACATGGGCTCATGCCAGTGGAAAAAAAACGGGGGGCAGTTTAAAAGAATTCACTGCAGCTGCATTCCACTTCACATTTTCATTACCCAGAGCTAGGGCTAGGGATAATACTTTCTCTTGGCAGTTGTGATTTTAACCCTGTAAGTGGTAAATGTAACTGCTAGAAGTGAGCAAAACTTTCGGACAAAATAGAAGGAAGAATTAATAATTTTTTAACTGCTTTGTATTGTATTGTTTTCTGTGCTATTGCATCTGTGTGTATGGTGGCAATCAATGTTGGATATTATATGCTTGTCGTAAATGTTAAGAGATAGATCATCCCTGATCAGGGAAAGCTGCAAAGACAAATGTTGGTAGGGCAAACTGCTTCTTGCTTCCTCTGGGTGAGACAGAGGAAAAAAAACTGCTGGCTTTTTACCATCAAAAAGGAGACCTAAAATCTTGTTAAACTCTAGGTATAGGAGACACAACAGGTCTTCTTGATGGATTTTTTTTTTTTTTTTTGCTGTGATTTCTGCCTCTGGAAAGGAACTAAGCAAAGGAAGACAGCTGGAACGCCTATCTGCTGACAAAGGTACACTTGGAATTTTAGGCAGGCTACTAGATACATATCGTTTTGAAAAGTAGCTTTGAAGCATGCAAATGAGCTCTTATGGAAAAGAGAAGCACACTTTTGGGGGGTGGATCAACTCAGACTCAATGACTGGTAAAAAAGGGGCTTAAGAAAGAAAAGCCTTGCAAGAAAGCCCAGATTAACCCAGCAGAGTCCTAGCTTTGCCTGAAAAGGGGGCAGCTATGCCCTCTGCTTCCTATTCTAAAAAAAACAATTCAGGATTTTGAACCAGTCATTTCCCTGGGCTTGATGTGTTCTTGTTTTTTTTTTTTTGTAAACCCAGGTCAGGTTGGCTGGAAAGGGAACTGGCATATTCAGACTTTAAGTTTTATGAAAATGTACTTCTGTAAAAAGGCTTTTGTTTCTCTTCTACCAGAATGTTCTGAACAAAAGATCTAAAAGTAGAAGATGACTAGAAAAACTATAAAGTTAGAGTTAATGAAATGGGACACCCAGATTTTATAACAATGGAGGGAAAGCAAAAACCATGCCATTGGGAAAGGGTAAAGTTAAACCTCTAAGAAGTGTAGAGGAAAAGGGACATTAAGGAGCTCTGTCTTTTAGAAAGTGTCCCTGGAGTACTGGTCCACGCTGTTCTGCCAACTGACTGCTCTGGTTGGAAGGAGTTCTTTTAAACTGCTTTCATGCCATTGTGAGGGCTTTGAATTCAGGTTACCTGCTGAGCCAACCATCCCTTGCAAGAGAGCTGGGGATGGCCTCAGCTTCCACTTTTCAACACAAGGTACCTACAGATGTCATCAACATCTCGTGGAACAGATAAATTGGTGTGGTGGGTTAGCAGAATTGCCGGAAACTGACTGCCTTCAAGGGGTCCCTCTGAATCACAGACTGAATTGAACTAAAATATTCTGACTCAACTGCCGCGGGGTGGGGGTTTCCAAAATTTACCGATCGATGGGAGTTGTGAGACTAGATTGGAGGCTCTATTTGTGCTGCCTGGCTGATGTATGTCTTGCATAGGAGCCCCCAACAGTTGTAAATTCTTTATCTCCAGGAGTAACATATATGACCTCTGGAATTGTGCTTCTTGTGTCCTCTGTGTAAAAAGCATATATTAACTTACCTCTCTCTAGCTCTGATTGGTACCTAGGGATAGATAGCAACACATTAAAGTGTTCAGAGATATATTCTGTAGAATTTTTTCTACAATAGGACTTACTCCATTAGAAAGGTGGTGTGAAATGTGTCCCAGATTTTATTGCAAGTGTATCATGACCCCATCTTAGTCTGGAAGGCATTTAACAGGCAGCTTCATCTCACTGACCAGAGTTGTATAAACAAAATTTACTATAGATTGCTTCCTTGCAGATCAAAGTGAAGTCTGAGAAAATTATTGATATTTCTGTTGTACCTTGTGTGTATGCTTCTGGCTAGTTGGACAAAGTTAATACAGACACTTAAGTGGGAAGCCACGGGGCTTTCGAAGATAAACCTTTATCGTTAATGAGATTTGTTCAACCGATGAAACCCAAGACCCTTGGAAGGTGTGGCTAAGAATAATAATGCAGATTTGATCTCATCTTACCCTTGGAGTCCTGTCAATAGTTGAATAACTTGTTTCAACAGACTGAACATATTTGGTCCTAGTTCTTGTTGGTCAGATTAAAACAAAATAACGAATAATGTGGCATATTATGAACAAATTTACCAGAAGACAACAAAGGAAAAATTTTGAGGTATGGAGAGAATATTTATGAGTACATGCAGATGTGGGGCATTCTGAAATAAATTATGCTAAAAACTCAGGATCCTGGACTAAGAGCCAAACTTAAGAAGATAATTTACAATTGTATAGATAATGAGAGAACTCCAAAAATATTTGCCTAATTCTAAAGGTATGTGTTTTAATTTAAAGGGAAAATGAGGCCTGGAACCTTGGAAAAACTCTAAGTCATAAAAGCCATTGACACCAAGGCCCTTGGTAAGATGTATTTACACTTTTAAAAGTTAGAATGATAACCTAGGATTCTTTCCATTCTGTTTCCAAGAGCAAAGGTTATTATCTACCTCCTTTTGGGAGGAAAGCAGATGTAAGTCTTTCTTTCTCCAACTTGTAAGCAGGGAAAATATTTTTTTCACTATCTCTTGCCTGTGGACACTTTGTATAGATTTGTATACACTTTGCCCACTTGTATAGATTCCTCCATCTAGCTTTTATTATATTGCCCCACTGGTAAGGACAAGGTCATTGGGAAACCAACACAGTTATTATGCAGACATTAATAAATCATCTGTGTATTATCCAAAACACTTTGTCCACACATTGGCGATAAAATGAATACAGATAAGTATAAAAAACCCAACAGTGTAGCATAGGAGAAGCCAGGTGGCATCTTTAACACTGTGCCTAGAAATCTCCTTGGCTAGATCACCCACTTCATTAGGTACATACCCTGTCTTTCATGCTAATACATGTTCTGATGTGGGTTAAATGCTTGCCATTACAAAACAAGAGTTTTCTATCTTCTATTTTCCAATAACATTTTTTAATTTTCCTTTAACTCTTTACCAAAACAGCCATTTCAAGGGTGATCAGGGTTCTGCTAACAGTTTCTTTAAGGCTATTTAGGCTGACAAAGTCCAGAATGTGCTACAGTAGCATAAGAATTATTTTGAGCTCAAGACATTTGAGAATCAGCAAATGCAGAAAGAGGCTTTCCCTGAACTCCCCTTATCTTCCTAAAAGTAGATCCTCAGAAAGAAAATAACTCAATTGTCATGAATCTCCTCCCTGGGAGTTTCATCACCCTGGAAAGATTGACTTTTATCACAGCAGAAAGGATAATAAGTTGACACCACACCCAGACAGACATTGTCACAGACAATGTATTATCTCCCATGTATATTTCATGTATATATCTCCCATATATTGTCCTAAGGGCCCATTTATATTTCCTAACTAAAATTTATTTGCTCTCCCATTAAGTGGCCTTTCTTCTTCTCCCTTTCCTCTATTAAGATGGTATTTAAGTTCTCAAATCTCACCGCTATTGGGTATTTACTCTTTTTCTGTGATGTCTCTGTGCACATACAAATAAAAATTAATCGAGTTGAATTTTTTTTTTTTTTTGCCTGTTTATCTGTCTATTGTCAGGTCCCCATTTACTAAACCTAAGAAGACAGAGAAAACTTTTTTTACTTTTTATTTTGTACAAGGCTTTCAGTGGCATTCTTCTCAAGGTCCTTCTGGCTTATTCCTATAGCCCTATACCAATGCCACCTCAATATTTTAAGCTTTTTTTATGACATCATCCTACTTCTAGGTAGGAAAATTTGTACTTGTTATGGAATTCTGTATAACAGATTACTCAAAACTTATTTCTCACAGTATCTGTAGGTAAGAAAATTGGGAGTGTTTTGGCAAGGCAGTTACTGTTTGATGTTTCTAATAAGATTGCAGTTAGATGTCAACTAGGGCAGTTGTCAACAGGAAACATGACTGGAGATAGAGGATCTGCTCCATTATGGCTTGTTTACATTGCTGGCAAGTTAATGCTGGCTGTTGGTGGGAAGTCTTAGTACTACAGGGAAAAAGAAGTATTTTTTATCCCTATAACAAGGTTCACAGCTGAGGCATTGGTAACAAAAGGCAGATTATCAAAAGAAAAGCCTACACATTTTTTAAATGTAAGTTTTATGTGGCATCAAAGCCTTCAGAAATGACTGAAAGAAACAGGTGGGCATATGTATTTTTATGCTTAGGTATGATGAAGAGTAGATGGCCATGGGTAAATACGATTGAAAACAAAAAAGTGTGATCAGAGGACAAAAGGGTGTGATATAATGGTAGTAAACTGGGAGGAACTTAGCAAGACCAACTTGTTCAGATTCTTCTTGGCATATCTGTGTCTTTAGTAATAAGGATGTTTCTTTCCTCCAGTATAGGGTGGAGACATCTCAAATGAGAATCTTATAACCTGCTTCAGAGGAGAAAGGTGAGGGGAAGGAGAGAGTGATCTTCCTGCTTCTAGTGTTTTCTCAAATGCCACGATGCCATATTTTGTGGTAGCACGTCCTGAACTCCATCAATACATGTCCATGTATGCTTCTGCACAAGAATGCTTGAGTTTTCCCAATGACATCATAGCTGTCTTTCCCTAGAGCAAGCAATCAAGAAGATGAAATGCCCCTTACGGCCTAGCCTCAGAAGTTGCACAGTGTCACCTCTGAATATTTTATGGGTCACAACAAGGCCATAAATGCCAGAATTTGAGAATCTTTGGGCGCATCTTGGGAGCTGGCTATCACACAATAAAATGGTCTAAGTATAACAGATGCAGGATCTAGCACTTGAACATAGTACTAGGGATTCTTGCTATCATTGGCCTGTGATTATGTCAGAAGGGTTTTCAGGGAGGGGTGTTGGAACCCTAGGTGCTGGGTGGCATTGGAGGGTCAGACTGAGACCTAGGCTATTTACTGACTGAAACTGTCAGCTGAATATTAATTACACACAACGTGCGCACACACAAACACCCCTACACAGTATTTTGGCACCTAGAATCATTCAATAAAAAAAGAATAACACTGATGGTAGTTTCTTTTGCTGTGCAGAAGCTCTTTAGTTTAATTAGATCCCATTTGTCAATTTTGGCTTTTGTTGCCATTGCTTTTGATGTTTTAGACATGAAGTCCTTGCCCATGCCTATGTCCTGAATGGCAATGCCTAGGTTTTCTTCTAGGGTTTTTATGGTTTTAGGTCTAACGTTTAAGTCTTTAATCCATCTTGAATTAATTTTTGTATAAGGTGTAAGGAAGAGATCCAGTTTCAGCTTTCTACATATGGCTAGCCAGTTTTCCCAGCACCATTTATTAAATAGGGAATCCTTTCCCCATTGCTTGTTTTTCTCAGGTTTGTCAAAGATCAGATAGTTGTAGATATGCGGCGTTATTTCTGAGGGCTCTGTTCTGTTCCATTGATCTATATCTCTGTTTTGGTACCAGTACCATGCTGTTTTGGTTACTGTAGCCTTGTAGTACAGTTTGAAGTCAGGTAGGGTGATGCCTCCAGCTTTGTTCTTTTGGCTTAGGATTGACTTGGCAATGCGGGCTCTTTTTCGGTTCCATATGAACTTTAAAGTAGTTTTTTCCAATTCTGTGAAGAAAGTCATTGGTAGCTTGATGGGGATGGCATTGAATCTATAAATTACCTTGGGCAGTATGGCCATTTTCATGATATTGATTCTTCCTACCCATGAGCATGGAATGTTCTTCCATTTGTTTGTATCCTCTTTTATTTCCTTGAGCAGTGGTTTGTAGTTCTCCTTGAAGAGGTCCTTCACGTCCCTTGTAAGGTGGATTCCTAGGTATTTTATTCTCTTTGAAGCAATTGTGAATGGGAGTTCACTCATGATTTGGCTCTCTGTTTGTCTGTTATTGGTGTATAAGAATGCTTGTGATTTTTGTACATTGATTTTGTATCCTGAGACTTTGCTGAAGTTGCTTATCAGCTTAAGGAGATTTTGGGCTGAGACAATGGGGTTTTCTAGATATACAATTCATGTCATCTGCAAACAGGGACAATTTGACTTCCTCTATTCCTAATTGAATACCCTTTATTTCCTTCTCCTTCCTAATTGCCCTGGCCAGAACTTCCAACACTATGTTGAATAGGAGTGGTGAGAGAGGGCATCCCTGTCTTGTGCCAGTTTTCAAAGGGAATGCTTCCAGTTTTTGCCCATTCAGTATGATATTGGCTGTGGGTTTGTCATAGATAGCTCTTATTATTTTGAGATACGTCCCATCAATACCTAATTGATTGAGAGTTTTTAGCATGAAGGGTTGTTGGATTTTGTCAAAGGCCTTTTCTGCATCTATTGAGATAATCATGTGGTTTTTGTCTTTGGTTCTGCTTATATGCTGGATTACATTTATTGATTTGCATATATTGAACCAGCCTCGCATCCCAGGGATGAAGCCCACTTGATCATGGTGGATAAGCTTTTTGATGTGCTGCTGGATTCAGTTTGCCAGTATTTTATTGAGGATTTTTGCATCAATGTTCATCAAGGACATTGGTCTAAAATTCTCTTTTTTGGTTGTGTCTCTGCCCAGCTTTGGTATCAGGATGATGCTGGCCTCATAAAATGGGTTAGGGACAGAAACTACCATCAGAGTGAACAGGCAACCTACAAAATGGGAGAAAATTTTCACAACCTACTCATCTGACAAAGGGCTAATATCCAGAATCCACAATGAACTCAAACACATTTACAAGAACAAAACAAACAACCCCATCAAAAAGTGGGCAAAGGATATGAAGAGACACTTCTCAAAAGAAGACATTTATGCAGCCAAAAGACATACGAAAAAAATGCTCATCATCACTGGCCATCAGAGAAATGCAAATCAAAACAAAATGAGATACCATCTCACACCAGTTAGAATGGCAATCATTAAAAAGTCAGGAAACAACAGGTGCTGGAGAGGATGTGGAGAAAAAAAGGAACACTTTTACACTGTTGGTGGGACTGTAAACTAGTTCAACCATTGTGGATGTCAGTGTGGCGATTCCTCAGGGATCTAGAACTAAAAATACCATTTGACCCAGCCATCCCATTGCTGGGTATATACCCAAAGGACTATAAATCATGCTGCTATAAAGACATATGCACAGGTATGTTTATTGTGACACTATTCACAATAGCAAAGACTTAGAACCAACCCAAATATCCAACAATGATAGACCAGATTAAGAAAATGTGGCACATATACACCATGGAATACTATGCAGCCATAAAAATGATGAGTTCATGTCCTTTGTAGGGACATGGATGAAATTGGAAATCATCATTCTCAGTAAACTATCACAAGGATAAAAAACCAAACACCACATGTTCTCACTCATAGATGGGAATTGAACAATGAGAACACATGGACACAGGAAGGGGAATATCACACTCTGGGGACTGTTGTGGGGTGGGGGAAGGGGGGAGGGATAGCATTAGGAGATATACCTAATGCTAAATGATGAGTTAATGGGTGCAGCACACCAGCATGGTACATGTATACATATGTAACTAACCTGCACATTGTGCACATGTACCCTAAAACTTAAAGTATAATAATAATAATAATAAAAAGAAAAAAAAAGAATAACACATCCTTTTAAGGTTGTTGTGTGAAAAAAATATCAAATTAGAATCAAAAGCATTCCACAAAATCGATCTTTATTACATTTTCATTCTCTTCTCCATCAAGATGTCTGACACATTTTAACATTTAGTTGTTCTCCAACTCTCAGTGGCTCCATACACTCATTTTCCTTTCCCGCTTAATTATTCATTCTTTTTTAAACAGGATTCCTATCTTAAACATACTTTTTGTTTCTATCCCCATATGTGAGAAGTACTGATGCTGGACATATAACCTATTATTGAATAATAAATCCTTATTGAGTTGGCTAACTCCTCCATCTCCTTATTATTTAGTTAATATTTTAGCAACTGTCTCCCAAATTTAAAGCCTGTATTTTAAAAAGTATGTTGAGCTACTGCCCCAAGGATCACTAATTTTAATCAAATACTCTTTAGGAATTTCAAAATGTATAAGGAATCAGAAAATATTATTCTAATATCATGTGAGGGGAGTATACTGTTACTTCTAGGGCGGGGATAACAAAATTATTTGAGGGGTACTTTAAAACATGTACACATTCTCCCGATATTCTGTATTTACTACCTAAAGGTTTTGGACACTCACCAACAGTACCTGCCCATACTTTCTGGCCCCATTCCCCACTTCAGTAGCTAATCTTTTTTCCTGTATTTTTTCTTAAAAATAAAAAAAAAACTTTTCCTTTTTTTTTTCTTTTTAGAAACATTGATCTAGAAAATAGTTACAATTTGATTGGTTCTTATAAATTAAACGTTTTTATTTTCTTGAGATGTTGAAACAAATCTTCTTGTTTTGACTTGTGTAAGTTTTTATTTTGTTATATGTTGTTGGAACAGAGATCTGAGTGCTTATGAGAATTGACTTAGATGATAATCTTTAAATGCAGTTTCTAAATTTGGAAGACTAGAAAATAGTCAATTGCTTACAAAATATAAATGAGCACATTTTCAAAGAACAAATAAAAAATCTTCACATCTTTTTTTGTCTTTCCCATGCTTTGTGCTTACAAAGTATCTTTCTCTTTCTCACTTTTTCTAAAAGTTTTCAGGATTTTGTCAAATCCATATCTTGACCATATTGTCTCAGTTGAAATTGGAAGTATCATCTTTATTGTTTTGAATAATTTAAAGCTGAAGCCTACAGTTGTCACTCATTGGTTTTTGTGCTTTCTGACTAGATGTGTGTGTGTGTCTTATATATGTAATATATATAAACCATGGATTTCTTTCACTAAGTTACAATACATGTTGCTGATTGTGAAGGTTATAAAATAACCCTTCTTCTTTGGCTGGGAAAGGTGGCTCACAATTGTAATTCCAGGACTTTGGGAAGCCAAAGTGGGAGGATCACTTGAGCCCAGGAGTTTGAGACCAGACTGGGCAACATAGCAAGACCTCATCTTTAAAAAAATAATAATCCTTTATTATTCTTTAAGTAATTCATTTTCAGGTAGACACTTTCAGGTACAAACACTAAACATGGTTTGATTGTAAATCTTTTATGTGCTTAGACCATGTATCTAATAATTTATTTCCAGAATCTGCTATCTAAGTTTGATCCAAGTTCATTTCAGACTCCTTGTTTCTGGTGCAATGCAGTGAAAGAGTCTGACGTCAACACTTATTACTATCTTTCAACTAACCATCAGCACAGAGGCAGCTGCACAATGACAATTCTACAAGGTGCTTTTCTAGTGGTTTAGCCACACTTGTGGCAAAGTTAAACTCTGTGGTCAGAGGAAATATAAGTAAGACAACTTGAACAAGAACAAAAAATATGTCCTCCGAAATGATCACGATTGTCAAATTTCTCATAGAACATATACATTATGCAGGGCTGGGTAAAACTGCACAGGCTCTTCCTTTTAACAGGATATTGGGAGTTGGAGGAGTGGAGGTGAAATCCAATTCTCATTCCACCTGCTAAACCTGTTATTCTGGTGATAGACTGCATCTGACCAGACAAGGTGACTGTTTCTAACTCATGTAAAGACGTCTTCTATCAGTGCTCCTGAGCCTGAAGGCACTGAAGCACCAGGGTTTTTGTTGTTTCTGTAGTTGTTATTTAACCAATGTAACCTATTGATGACAAATATTTTTGTAAGTTTTAAATTTTTTATTTTTATTTTTAGTCTTTGTAAAATAAAATAGAAAATATAAAATACATACTGTACAAAGTACAAGCTCAAAACTTTATATTAAGCAAAAATAAAATTACATTTCTATAATATAATTAGAACATATATAAAATAGAGAATCAAGAAAGTACATTGTCCATTGAAAATGTGCATATGATCAATTAATATAAAGTCTCCCTATTAAACTTAAAACTTATTAGTTCACAATTATGTCTAAAGTTTTAAAAAATGATTATAATAGCAGTTCTGAATATTAAATGCCTATACACACAGTTTGAATTAATACCTTGGTTATCAATTTTAAATATTTTAATGTGAAGCAGTAGTGTGCATATTGTTTAATCTAATTTGGTTTGACAACACTAGTCATGGGATAATGCATATCTAAACTGTTTGTACACTTTATTTTAATAACATTCATAGTAAAGAATAAGTCTCATAGATGTATGTTGAAGGGAATAGAAGAGAAATTTTTAAAAATTTCAGCAAACTTCAGATACTAACATTTAAGTTTTATACATAACAAGGCCAAAAAGAGCATATTTTGAAAATTTTCTTAAAACCTTCATCGGTAGCCAGATCCACCAATTTATATTATAAAGCTTTTGATAGGTTGAAATTATTTCTCAAGGAAAGAAAAGAATTTAAAATTTTTCAAATTTACGAATTTTCTCTGTATGGATTTTCTTCTGAAGGAATATGAAATTCAGCACATTCTACCTAATTTGTGATGTGTTTGGTGGTACCTTTTTATAAATGTGCAATATGGAGATCATCATCTCCTTATTGATAATTGTCCAATTGCGTAGCACAGCATAATAATCTATAAAACTTTTGGCCAAGCGCTCATTATATCCGATTTATAATCCTCTTTTTTCTGTTGTTTTTTTTCCTGACCAATCAGTCAGTTTCTCTCCTCTCCAAAAGCCCTTTAACTTTGGTTTGCCTCTAAACCTGAGCAAGCACTCAAGTGCAGAGCCTGCTTCCTTTAGCAGTTTATGGAGAATCAGTTAACCACAGTGCAATGCATTTCCTGTTAAACCTCAAATATCCTGTAGTCAACCCGGTCTCCCTCATTTGTCCAATGTCTCCTTATGTACTGTACTGCTTACCTCTCCCTATAAAAGAAAGAAAAAGTGTTTTCTGTTTGATTTTGAGACCTTTGCAGCAGATACCTGAGATCTGGAGAGTTCTTCCTATTGTAGTAGTCTTTTTTATTTATTTATTTTATTTATTTTTTTAATTTTTATTTTTGAGATGGAGTCTCACTGTGTTGCCCAGGCTGGAATGCAGTGGCACAATCTGCACTCACTGCAACCTCTGCCTCCCAGGTTCAAGTGATTCTCCTGCCTCAGCCTCCCAAGCCGCTGGGATTACTTACAGGTGCCTGCCACCACGCCGGGTAATTTTTTTGTAATTGTATTAAAGACGGGTTTTCATGATGTTAGTCAGGCTGGTCTCGAACTCCTGACCTCAGGTAATCCACCCGCCTCGGCCTCCCAAAGTGCTGGGATTCCAGGCATGAGCCACTGTGCCCCGCCTGTAGTAGTCTTTTTGAATAAAGTTTCTCCTTACCTAAGTCTGGAACGTTCTTATTGGACAATCTACTCTTTCAGGGTTCTTTCTCTTTTGCCCTTTGATTTTAACTGCCACTGAAATACATGTTCTCTCCTTTCTTTCTATGGAAATTGTTTAATGATTAAATTTATCAGATAAATAAAATAAATGAGAAAGCCTGACTGTCCAATTTGTTTCTTTGAATATTTTGAACCAAACCACTTTTTTAACCTTGCAGAAACACTGAGATTGTGTTTAGTAATAACTATACCTTAGTATGCAACACGATTGTGTATGATTAGCTAATAAATTTTCACACAATAAAGATAATAATCTTGAATGTATAACATTAATTTTATGTAATTCACTTTTTTTACTACTTCACTGAGCAAACTATTTGGTTCAGCTGACCAGTTTTTGTAGCAAAACTTTCTCAGTGATGGAAATTCGTTTAAATTCAGAAGCCAGCACTTTAATCTGGATACATTCCTGCCATTTTAGCTATTCCAACAGAATATACTCTTAGATAAAATTTGAACTCTAAGTCACATTTACTGATAATGTGCTTTTTTTCGTAGACTTATGTAGTTCAAAGTAGATGTGTTCATCAGCAAGGAAATGGGAAAAAACAATCTTCTTTCATATTGTTATTATGGTCAAATTTTACATTCTTGAAAAAAATTCCCATGCTATCAATTTGTGCCTTTGTCAAGTTGTACTTCAAATACTTAGCTAGCTGTATGTATTTTCTAAGTTAGCCTTCTATGTCATTTTTCATTTCCTGAGTATGTTGAGCTATAGTGTTATAGAAAAATGATGCCTTTTTTGGTCACATATCTGCCAAACATTTTAAGCAACCATCTTTGATGCAGTATTTTAACAATATTTCAGCAGATGCATATATTTCCAGTCTTAGTAGTCTTAAGTTCTATATTAAAATAAATACTAGTATTTATGTGTAAAATATTGACTATCTGCATCTATCAATTTTTTACACAATACTCTTTCTTTAAAAGATGTTGATTTTGATATTATCTCTTTTGGTTTTTATATAAATGCTACCTAAATTTTGATGGTTTTATTGCTTAGTAAGCCAGTATATCTCTACAAGCTATATATTATAGTTTTAGTACTTCGCAATAAATTATGGCTAAAACACTGAACTCGATATATGAAGGAGCACACTTTGAAGCAAAACTACTACAGACTATACTGGTTATTTATTTATTTTTCTAAGATCACATCCATCATCAACATTTAGTTTATAACAGCAACCACATCCAGAAAAAAAAACGTACTTTTTCTTAACAAAAAAGATTAGTAAAGTTTGTTTTATCATCAGTGTATTGAAGTCAAATGTAAAGAATATAAATTTTAGGCCAGGTGCGGTGGCTCATGCCTGTAATTCCAGCACTTTGGGAGGTCAAGGCGGGCAGATCACGAGGTCAAGAGATTGAGACCATCCTGGCCAATATAGTGAAACCCCGTCTCTACTAAAAAATACAAAAAGTAGCTGGGCGTGGTGGCACACGCCTGTAGTCCCAGCTACTCGGGAAGCTGAAGCAGGAGAATCGCTTGAACCCAGGAGGCAGAGGTTGCAGTGAGCCGAGATCGTGCCACTGCACTCCAGCCTGGTGACAGAGTGAGACCCCGTCTCAAAAAAAGAAAAAGAATATAAATTTTAATTTTCTAATCTAGCTAGTAATGTTGAAACCATAAAAATATTCAGTCTTTATTAAATGTTAATGGATTACTAAAATGAAGTTTATAAATATAAATAAATATTTTTTCAGATTCTTATATACTGTTGGGTTCATTTGGGAAATTAACCTTAAAATATAATTATCTTTTGTGTCGCAGCTGCTCCTGCCTAGTAAGCAACTCATGCTATATGCACTTTAGACATACATAAGACAATATCCCAAAAGATCTACATCCTGTTGAAGGAGGCAAGTTTACTAATCACATGCTTGATTGTTTTGACAATATTAGTGAAAATAGTTCTCCCTAATTTGCAGAGATACATTCCAAGATCCCCAGTGGATGCCTGAAACTGTGGATAGTACTGAACCCTTTATACAGTATATTTTTTTGTCTGATAACCAAGACAGCTACTAAGTGACTAAGAGGCAAGTATCGTCTACAGTGTGGATATACTGGACAAAAGGATGATCTATGTCCCAGAAAATATTTCATTATGTTACTCAGAATGGTGTACAATTTTAAACTTATGAAATGTTTATTTCAGGAATTTTTTATTTAATATTTTTGGACCACAGTTGACCATGAGTAACTGAAACTGAGGAAAGTGAGACTGTGTACTGTACTACAGTACTACAAAAATATCTAACATCATTGGGATTACAAGTATGAGCCACCATGCCTTGCAAAACCACCCTTTGAGTTACAATTACATATGGGTTAGTGGAGGCTTCCACACTTTTTCAGATGTAATAAAAGCACAATAATTGAAACTGGTTGATTGAAATTTTTTTTTTCTGAGCTGTTTTCTACACTTTTTTGGATCTTTGTATGCTGGTAACATTGTTTTAAGGCAAGAATGATACTGGTGATTGTTTTCCATTATCTGAATATGTTGCTATTTCTTTTGTTGCAAAAAAGTTCACAATTCAAAAGTGTCTGATTTTACTTATAATACAGTAGATGAAACACTTTTTCAGGGTTATACTGAGCTTGTTACTGTTCAGATACAAACATAGGAAGAAACAACTGGGTGTGTTTCATGCAGTCCTTTTCATGTTTGAGAATGAAACAAAGGTGGGCTTTCACAATTTTTCATGGTATCTCTTAATCAAAATTTAAAAGGTCTTATTCTTACTGCCCCTTCCCTAAGTCTTAAAAGATTGCTGAGACTTACTCCTGTTGGGGCTCAGAAACCACCATCCCAAAATATGACATTTTGAAATGCTGAACAGAAGAAGAAGCCTCAGGGTCTCTCTGACCTTTCCCCTCAATACCTCTTCTTCCCCTTTTCATAACCTGTTTTACCAGGCTCCAAGCCCCCATTTTTTCTGTAACCTCAAGACGGTGTATAAGCTTCTGTTACTCATTAAAAAGTTGAGTCTTCATTCTGAAGGCTCCCACGTATACATATTAAGTAAATTTGTATGCCTTTTCTCTTATTAATTAATCTGTCTCATGTCAGGGATGTTTTAGCAAACCTTTAGGGAGCCAAGAGCCTATGGCACTCACAGTATGGTACTATGAGCAAGATAAAGTTGCTCTGCTCTTATTAAAGCTACAGTGAAGAGAACTCAGGAACCTGACAAGCCAGCAAAAGGGTAAGGACTTCTTACCAATCAGGCTCCCAGTCTCTCTCTCTCGCTGTGCAATCTAGTTGAGCAGAAGGTAAAAATCAGTTTTGTCTCAAGGTTTTCATTACTGGGAAAAAAGCATTTATGTGATTAGTCTTGGGTTGTAGTGACTCTGCTGTACTTTTGGTACTTTGTAGTATGAATGCTCACATTGTTCGATGCTTTACTTATCAGAATTAAATTCTTTTTGTGGTCATTTTCCTTTGTCTTTGTCTTTCTGTGCCATTCTGCCATAAAGAGGAGTACCATAGGGTAGAACACAGGCCTGGAACCCCTAGAAGCCTGCTGGATGAGCCAGTCCTGCAGACTAATCAGCTTTGCAATTATGACTAGACCAGAGTCTGTTAAGACAAGCATTTCTGTGGGTCCCTGAAATAAAAGCTGATGAGGTTTTCCTCTCATCTTGCCTTTTGTCCTTGAAAACTTGATTTGTGACTAAGTGGGGATACTGTCTTAGTGTATGCCAGCCAGAGGGTATCAGTTTTCAGGGTCAACTCAAGCAGCCATCCTGAAAAGATTGGGCATGCAGGATAAGTAAGATTTTAAGCCACACACTTTCATTCTGAACGTTAAGTTCTTAGGGAAATTTTGTCTTAAAAGGCACCATCCCTACGAAAATTTTATCATCTTTACTCTCTTAAGTCTATTTCTGAGAGTAAGTTTTGGGGGATCTTGTGGACTGTCTTATGTATGCCATTCCAGGAAATATGGTAAAAACCCTGGAAATTCACTTGGGCTTTACATGACAGACTTTTGGATTGAGTTGCTATTGAAATTAAGTGTGCAATTATAAATTCTAATTTACAGTGGCCACAAGGTCCCTTAAATTAGACTAAAATGCTAAATTAGAAAGGATGTTAGCGATGTCTTATTCTAAATATTGGTTATAAAAAGCCACAGTCTGTAAGATATTTAAAGAGGCAGAGGCTTATTCTCAGCCAAATATGAGTGACAATGGCCTGAGGCACAATCTTAAGAGGTCCTGAGACCATGTGCCTAAGGTGGTTGGGTTATAACTTGGCTTTATATGTTTTAGGGAGATGTAACCACCCAACAGGTTCATCTTGCCCACTGCCCAGATCGAGTTGCTTTATCAAGTTAGGGGAATTACAATAGAGAAAGTTGAATGGACACAAGGACTGCCTCCTTGAGAGAACTGGAGTTATCACTCAAATCAGTCTTTCTGAAGGCATGAATGTTAGGGTTTTTATGGACAGTTTGGTCAGCAGGGAGCTAGAGAATTGGTGTTGCTGATTAATTGGGGATGAACTCATAGGGGTGTCCAAAACAGTCCTCATGCCCCGAGTTGGAATCTGGGTGGGGCCACAGGATCAGTTGAGTAATGAGTCAGAAGTCCAGGTAGAATCATTCTGAAAGATACCTCAAAAACAAAACAAAAGAAAACAATTTTACGTTCTACAAGAGTGATGTTATCTATAGGAGCAATTGGAGAAGTCGCGAATCTTGTGACTTCTGGCCACATGACTCCTGAGCAGTAAGGGATTGTAGAAAGTACACTTACATTTTAGCAGAGTTCAGGCTCCTCTCATAATCCTGTTCTTGTGGACTTTCATTAGTCTTATAAATGTGGGTTTCAATTCCTGAGCAAGCTTTGGGGTTAGTGTTAGAGACAGACTTGCTTTTAAGTTAAACTAAAAACTAAATTCCTCCCAGTGTTAGCTTGACCTATACCCAGAAGTGATGAATTACATCTTGGAGATAAGAAGCAAGATGGGGCCAACTACGTCAGGTTTCTCTTACTGTCATAATTTTACAAAGGCAGTTTCAGGTCCCTGTGGAGTCATCTGATCATTGGAAATGCAGAAGTCTGGAAACACATTTCAAAAGGTCAATCTTAGGTTCTACAACCATGATGTTATTTACAGGAATAATTGAGGAAGTTCCAAATCTTGTGACTTCTGGGACAGTCGCTGCTAATCATTTAACAATGCCTATATCTTAACAGAATTCAGGTCACTCTTATAATTCTAACCTTGTGGACTTTATTGTTTTTATAAAGATGATTCAGTTTTGTGAGGGCTATTATCATTTAAACTATAAACAAAATTTCTCCCAAAATTAACTTGGCCCACACCCAGGAATGACCAAGAGCAGGTTGGAGGTTAAAAGCAAGATGGAGTTGGTTAGATCAAATCACTTAAAGTGTAAAAATATTCTGTTATAATTTTTTTTCAAAAGTTGTTTCAGATATATAAGATATTAGTCAATACATATGAGGTACACATTTGTTCAGTCCAGAAAGGCTGGACAACTCCAAGTGAGGGTTTATAGGTCATAGGTGGGTTCAAAAATATTCTGATTGGCAATTGGTTGAAAGAGTTAAGTTATTATCTAAAGACCTGGAATAAATAACAAAGAATGTCTGGGTTAATAAGATAAAGAGTTGTGGAAACTATGGTTCTTATTATGTATATGATGCCTCATAGATGGCTGTCTTTAGAAACAATAGATGACAAATATTTTCTGTTTTTACCTTTAAATGATGCTAGACTCTGAGTTAATCTCTTCAGGGTTGGGAAGGCCTGAATGGGGAAAGATCTAGCTATGTTAATATATGTCATTTATAGATGCACATTTTTGCCCACAAAAGGTTTTTCAGGGCCATTTTAAAATGTGACAAAGACACATATTTTTGAGTAAAATATTTTTCTTTCTTTATTTGTCTGTCATGTGATGTTATACTAGAGTCAATTGGGAATTTGGTATCTTATTGTTACAAAGAGCCTGTTTTGTCAGTCTTAAGGTCTATTTTTTAGTATTAATGCTGGTCACTTGTACCTGAGCTTCAAAGGAAGAAGAGTATAAGAAGTCATGTGTGATTCTCCCTTGCCATCGTGGAATGAACTAGTTTTTTCAGATTTCTTAGGGTTCCCTTGGCCATGAGAGGATTCCATTCAGTCACTTGAGGTGCTTCAAATTTTATTTTTGGTTTACATAAACAATTGATGAAAAAAATCTTTTTTTTAAAAGGACACATAATAGTGTCATGCTTAGCCTTTAGAATTCTCTTGTCTAAGTTAAGGAACAAAAGTATGACCTAAAAAAAGTTAAAATTCTTTGTAAGCTTAAAACTTCCTTCATCAGTTTCTTTCTGGGAACAGCAATGGAGACCTCCCTATGCTATCTGCCAGTAGCTAAGGTGCTGCCCTTTTACAGTGCTGGCTTTGGTTTGATTTCTGGCCAGGGAATGAGTCTTTTCTGGTTTGATATTTGTGTGCCTTTTGCCATTTATTGATGCTTTTCATTTCCATGGACAGATTTTGATTTCCTATCTTCTGTCTGTGGGGGCATATGGGGCTTTTTGACCTGTGTATGTAGATGATAAGCTGAGAAGCTGATACCCTCAAGAATATGGCACAACAGAATTATGAACTGCGTTTTGTTTTGGGGTGATTCTGAATTTTATGAGGACTGCTTTGCCTCTCTTTGGAGACTTCACATGTCCTTGTTTAAGTCATAACTCTGGTTAAAGCTTATTAGTTTCATTTGTAGAATAACTTTGGTAAAGAAGTTTAAAAGCCACAAATGCCAGCTGTTTGCCCCAGGTAAAATCAGGTAATAAGAGATTAATTTATTTGTTTATTCATTTTCACAGAGATCTACAGTTAGAAGTCAATTTAATTAAAAGTTGATATCCAAGTATACACACACACGAAAAACTACAGACAAATTAAATTTAAAGACTTAAAGGAGTTTCATTGAGCAATAAGCTATTTGCGAATCGGGCAGCATTCTGAGCCATGGTAGGCTCAGAGACTGTAGCGCAGACACATGGTGGAAGAAGATTTATGGACAGAAAAGGGAAAGTGACATACAGAAAACAGAAGTGAGGCACAGAAACAACTGGATTGGTTACAACTCAGCATTTGCCTTATTTGAACATGGTTCAAACAGTTGGCTACATATGGTTGGCCAAAACTCAGTGATTGGCACAGGTGTGGGCTACAGTCTGTTTACACCTCTACTTGTTATAGTTCACAATGTACAGAAAAACCTATATGCAAAACTCAAAATATGTAAGGACACAGCTTTAGGCTAAGCTTGATTTAACAATTCCCCCTTTAGGAAATTTTCTGAATTTTGAGAAATTGACTAAAACTTTAGACAATGATATTACTATCATCATCTTAAATGTACTTATTTGGTCTTGCAACCCACTGGGAAACAGTAAAACAGTGGGTTTTGCAAGGTGGGAACAAGGACTGAGTAGAGGGTACCTCCTTATGCCAGAACATTCTGTTTACAGGAGAAAAACAAAAGCCGGTCTGTTCTAGGACCTATGTGTTCCCTTTAAGTCTTAGTTTGATTATGTCATATTGAGCGAGAGCGATTCCATTTTAGTTTGGTTTGGTCTGTTGGGGCCTAGTGCATGAGCTCAGTCCAAAACAACAGCCTCCCATAATTTTGTTTTAAAAAACCCCCCTTTTTGGTCGGGTTCTCACTTTTCTGAGAGTGTGACCAAAACTTAGGGTCTTAGTGCCACTCTCAGTTATCATCATTTTGAGTTTCTGGTGCCAGCATGTCATTCATAGATTATAGTGTCCTCATGGTCACACATTTCTTTCAGCTCTTGCCATTCCAGTTGAAAAGAGACCATTTGACATTGTAGAGATGGCTGCATCTAAACATTTAAAACCTTTGAGAGAACAGCACACCAAGAAGACTACTTTTATGACTATTAGGAGAATAATACCAAGAATTTGGAGTATTATTTTTATCCAGTGTCCCCATAATCCAAACCACCTAAAATCAAATAGATCAAAGAATGAGCTAGATAAAGAGTCTACTCACTTAACTAAGCAGTCTCTTTGTTAATCCCCTACACATAAATCTGTATAATACCTAATATTTTCTCCATAGGCCATAAGTGCCAGCAGCTGCATAAGTACTTCTGTTTAGCCAGTAAGTAATCTAGAGTAATTCTATTATTTAGCACAACTTTCACAAGAGTATTTAAAGTCTTTCGTGTAACTATAGCCTTTACAGTAGCACCTGCTATGGAGCCTATCATGAGGGATACATTGCTAATCATTGTTTCTTTTACTCCAAACCATGGAAAAATGACCTAACAAATGAAGCCCTTCTAGAAGACTGAAAGCCTTCTGGCAATGTTCTTTTAACTCATGATGTGGGTTAAGAGGAGTGAAACAATGTTTGTTTCTGACTAATTATGAGGCAATTTATGTACCATTAAAGTTTCTCACCTCCATTGGGCCTTCATCTTTCATGTATCAAGGTATAACGTTATCCACATATAAGGCTGGCTGCAAAATCCTTCACAAATAAAAGTATACCTCATAAGTGCATACAACAGCCCCCTTTTTCACTTCTATTGTTCATAGAGGCATAAGCAAGGGAAAAATATTTGAAGATAAGAGTCTCATGATAGTAGAGAAGCCTTGATTCATGATCTTGGAAAAAGCTATTCACATAAAGGATGCATCTTCTTCTGAAGAGAAACATTCCTTGTTAGCTTTACCTTAAGGGTTCCAATGAGTGTACAGTTCCAAGAATATGGAGGGATCCTTCTCAGTTGTGAGATTATGAACCCAAGGTTCAAGGTCCTGGAGTTTTGTTGCAGTGTGAGTGGCAAGGGCACTCTTTCTCTGATGTTCTCAGAAAATCCAATCTTTGGGTTCTAGATTGTGAAAAAGCTGATTTTCCTCAGTGAACCATAAAAAGCTTCCTTTACCTGGTAAAAATACACTGTGACATAATAATTTACTATTATAACATCAGCCTTCTTGCATGGGAAAGCTTTTATACAACCAGAAAACATGCATTGAAAATGACAATTTAATAAAATCACTCCATAAATATTTAAATGGCCCATCAGGTAGCTGAATGTACCTAAAGCTTTGATTGTCTTCCCGGGAATATGGGTTTGACAAAACAAACATTGGTCATAAACTATTTTATCATTTTATCTTTTCCAGTATAAGTCATTGAATGCAGAACTTTTAATAAAATTTTAAAGGCTCAGGAAAGACAAGGCAGCCATCATGGTTCTCCATGAGTTCATGCTTAACATTGGACTTATGTCCACTTGAATACCAGTTGTTTCTCCAATTTAGGTGTATAGCACTGATAACTGATGGATTATCATAGGTCATCTGACTTGGACCATGGAGTTCCTTCAAATTGTATATATACACAATTTCAGTATTGTCTGATTTAGCAAGAAGCCCAAAATGATACAATTTTAAAGTGATCAGAAACCTGTATTCAAGAGTGCTTTTTGGTGTCCTTTTCATCCTTTCACAAACCTCCTAAAAGACACCATATTTTAGAATTTTGCATGCTTGTGATATTTTTAGAAACTGCATCAGCATTAAGCAATTACCCGTGGAAATGACTTTAAATTGTCAAAGTTAGACAAAATTGACAAGGAAATTTGGTTATTTCTGTAGTTTACAATAAATTAACATAACCATAATTACGATTGATAGCATGTTCTCAGACATATCAGAATTTTAGAAATCTCATACGATTTTGGAACATATATGAATGTCGTTCACTGAAATATAACCTGAAGGAGGTTAGACATTATTGTTAACTTTATTGATTGATAGAGGAAAGACTTAGCTTTCCAAACAATCTGTCTCTTGTCTTTCGCCTTTTTTCAGTAGTTTATTCAAAAGTCAGACAAAAATCTTTCATTATCCTTTAATATTACATGAAAATCTTGTTCAAGAGAGAAAGCCAAATTTCATCCTTGCATTATTGTACTATTAATGTCAACCCCAATCTTTAATAAAACCTTATAGGCAAATCCATCAATCTTAATCAGTTTGACCATGAGGTGAAATTTTAATAAACTTTTTATAACCCTTTACAAGTTTTTGTAAAGAGCAGATCAGTGCTCTAAGTAAGCCCTGTTGTGCTTTTATTCCAATGTTCAGTTTACAGAAAAAACTGAATTATAGCTCTTTAAATTCAGCCCATATGTTCATACGCAGAATCCCTTTTACAATTAATATTTCAGAAACCTTTCATAACTTGCTCAAACCTTTAGCTTTATCCTATCGAATTTAAAACAATCCTTTAATCCTCTAAGTGGGCAAAAATGTACATTCTCATGCCTTCTTATAATGTTTTACTAAAAGCACATTTTGCTTTCCTTACACATCTTGCATGTAAAACTGTTTTTCACAATGAGAATACTTGGACACAGGAAGGGGAACATCACACCCCGGGGCCTGTTGTGGGGTGGGGGGAGCGGGGAGGGATAGCATTAGGAGATATACCTAATGTAAATGATGAGTTAATGGGTGCAGCACACCAACATGGCACATGTATACATCTGTGACAAACCTGCACGTTGTGCACATGTACCCTAAAACTTAAAGTATAGAAAAAAAAAACAAAAAAAACTGTTTTTCAGTAGTCTCAATTACATATTGCAATGTTACCTCTTACCAATTTTAATTTTTGGTGAAAAACCTGGTAAGTGACTTTAATTATTTACTAGTTTTGGAGCCTAAAGTGACATACAAAAATGCAGATAAGGTCTGACTCTTTTCAGCATAGTTAGGGGCATGGCTAACTCCACATGTCCCCAGGCCTTACCTAGCTATAAAGCAGGTAAGTTGAACAATTTTCAAAAGTGAAAGAAGCAGTTTATAACCTTAAAGCATCTAGCAAACATAATATCTGACTTGCCTAACTTAGACCAAGTGTTTTTATTTTACCGATAATCTTTTTAAAACTGCTTTTATTTTCCAAAGGCTACTAAAGTCACATGAACTAAAAGGCTTTACAGTTTTCATTTTTCTTTCAAAATATTTGATTTAAGTGCTTATTTTTCTTCAAGCCAATTAATTAGAGCTTTTTTATATGAACGTCACATATACAACACATATATAACTACACAGACAGACAGATGAAGATCCAGAAGTTGTAAGATTTTTTTATTTGCCAGTTTTTAAGTTTCTTAATTGGATTACTGGTGTCACGGTGGAGTTCTTCAGGGAACAGGGCCAGGAAAGTCATGCAGTTCTTAGGGCCTAATAAGCAGGCTTCTTTGGAAGACAAAGTTTTCCAAAATTAATGGCCCCATTTTTATATCACATCCTGGATTCTCAAAAAGAAGGAAATGCTATGGGAGAAGAAAGTGCAACGCTTTTACCATGCATTTCATTGCATGACAACCCAAAGCCACTTAGCCCATTTTGCAATCAATCCATCCTCCCACGGGAGTCTTATCTGTCAGTGGGGAGTGGCATCTCTCAGTGGGGAGTGGCGATATCTTCATACCTTCTAGGTGGCCAAGAGCATGTTTCTCTAATCCGGATGTGTAAAGAGCTGAGTATCCTCCCTAGCAGCCAATAGCCATTTCTAAAAGTGTATTTTCCACCTAGTTAGAATGCAAAGTATTTTCTGATATCCCCAAAACTCAAAACCATGAAATAATACAATGCAAAACAAAACAGAGCCTTAGATTTTGAGAGGGATCTATCCACTTCCAATTCCTGGGGTTTCATGAAGAAAACAGAGATTTTTCTCAAAATGGGATCTATGGAGCCTTCTCTCTTTTCCCCAAGGAGTCCCAGGCTATTAGAAGTTATCTTAGTTCCTGTCTTGTGTACATTGAGTAGCAAGAAGACAAAGTGGAGAAAAAAACTCAGTTGACTGAGAAGAAAATAAACCCTTTTTTCTTCAGAAAAATAAAATCCAAGAAGGAGGAAAAAAAAACATAAAGGCCTTTTAAATACACATACAGCTTGGACATCCACTGTTAACTAAGCTGACTTTTAACCACAGTGCTCTGTAAGAAACTGTCCCTTTAAATTATTTATTATACTACTTTACCTGGGCCAAATGGTCCATATTTCTGGCCTTTTAAGTTCACCAAAAGTAACCTCACAAGTGAAACAAACTTCAACTAAGGTTCTGACTCAATCACGAGTGTATGAAATATTTTCAAAAGGGTGGTAAATCATTTTTACACAATTTAGAATCTTCAAGGGTAGCTCAGAAAAAAAAAAATAAGAAGGAAAGCTAGAAGTTGTTCTTGGAGGAAAAGAGAATCAACGAATGGTAAAGGTCGAATAGATATCACCCAGTAAGTGCTCATTCCCTACGCTAGAATTGAACCTGGACTGCCATTGTAAAATGGCAAAGCATTAGCTGCTGAATTACAGCACTGGGCAGTTTCCATTGCTCTTCCCAGAAGGAGTCTAAAGCAGTCAATTTTGAGTTTGCAAAGGCTTTTATCTACTCAAGGTAATTTTTAGAGCTAACTATGACATGAACCCCAAAATCCTTGTTTCCTAGATGGCAGAAACCAAGAGAAAGTGCTGCCACTTAGTTACAAGGTCAAGCTCCCAAGGTCATAAAACAAGATGGAGACCCCATCCAGTTTCTTTTTTGTTTCAGGGACCTGCAGTAAAGTTTGTTACTGAACAGTTTTCTGGGTTGTCTTGAATAGCAAGCTTGCGGGGTCCTAAGCCCATATTCTATCCTAAGGTACTTATCTTTATGACAGGACCATACAGAAAGACACACAAAGCACACCAGATATGCTACAGCTTAAGAATAGCCTCAGAATCCTTTATCACATTAATCAAAACTTTACAGAGGAGATAAACAGTGATTTGTTTTTATCATTCACTCAGCCAGTTTGCACAGAGAGAGAGAGGCCAGAAGTCTGACTAGTAATAAATTCTTACCCTTTTGCCAGCTTGCCAAGCTTCTCGCCTCCCCCTCCCTGAGCAGCCACACTATAGCTCTGGGGGCCAAGATGCAACACAAAAGAAAATCTTTTTTTTTTTTCTTTCTGTTTCATTGAACCACAGGCAAAAGCCTGTCAATTTTGTAAGACGCTGTCCAAAGGGTGGCATGGAGTAACCAAATTAACATGTTCAATTTCGGCCAGAGTAAAATACATGCGACAAATTATAAACATTAGCCACTTTGCTTAGCACCCAATATCAAATTGGCAATGCCCAAACTTGCCCCCAGTTTGGCCCTGTCACGTTTAATCCAACCACCCACCAGGAGATTTAACATGTGGTCTCTGGGCAAGATGGCTGCCCTGAGTAACAGAAAAGATAGGAAAGGGAAAGGAGAGAAAAAAAGAAAAACATTGCCTGTGGTAGAGTGGGGAAGTCAAGGAGCTCAGGGAGGCCAGAGAAAGACCCACCCAATGCAATACTGAATTAAAAATTCAGGCAGCTGCTTGTCGGTCATGAAGGGATCTTTTCCAGCAGTCACATCTGCTCTCAAGTTTTCTTTTTTTAAGAGAAAAAGTTCTCCATGTTCCATGGTCCTATTCATGCCTAATCCTGTCGCTCATAGCTGTCAGAAAAAAAGTACAAGGCAGATTAATCCAAAGAGAATAGCAGTTAACATCCCGTAGTGCCAAATCTATTTTTACAAAGAGAGACTTTATTGAAGGGAGGTTCTCTAACCCAATTCCATCCTTTACCCATGTAAAATATACCCCATTACTTAACCTAAGTCAGCCAATTGGTGCTGCAGTCTATTTCCTTTGGATGAGGATAGTAACTAAGCTAAAAGGTTAGTAGATTTTATTTATTTAATCAATTAGTCACTTAAGCTTATTATTTGCCTTTCATAAAGTGTTTAAATAAAAATACTGAAATCTTTTTAGAAGCTTCTGAATATCAAGAGTCATCTCTAGATAGGACTAATTTGGGAGACCTCATTTCCAAATGCACTTCATTGCAGTTTTGTTCATTTGGAACGTTCCAGGCTAAGTTAACTTTAGTAAGATTTTGCCATTTCTGTGAGACTTTGGAGCTTTTGGGGCCTAACACTTATGCACGTATGAGCCAGAAAAAAACTGATCTCTTCAGAAATTAAGGATCCCATTTTTACCTAAGATATTGGCTTTACTCTCAGGTTCCCTTGATTAACATAGCCAATGACTTTTTTCCTACCTAAGCCTGTAATAATAATGAAACAGGGGGGTAGAACATAAAAATCCCTGTGAATTTTCAAAAGCCAAATATTACACATCCTGAAATATTACCACTTAACTACCAGTTTCTTTCTGACCCAGTCAGATGTAAGAGTCCTCTAACTGGAACCAAGCCAGTTAATTACTGGATCTAATCCAGCCCTGGACCCAGGCCAGTTTCTGTCACAACTTCTAAACCCAGTTTGGATCAGAAATTTGCTCAAAGAAACTTGAACAGCTCAAAACACAAATCTGTAGAGCTCTGAAATCTGAGCGAGAACTTACCATGATCCCCAGCTGCTCCAAGAGATCAATGGACACAAATGGGTTCTGCAGCTACCTCGCTTTGGTCGCCCAGGACTCCTAGGGTTTGTTAGAAGCTCTACTTGGGACCCTGCTTCTGACACCATCTGATAAAAGAAAAACTTCACCTGAATTAAATTTTTAAAACATTAATTTTGTAATGAACAGTTCATGAGTCCAGCAGCCTTATGAGCCAGCGGAGGCTCAGAGACTCCAGTGCAGCCATGCGGTGGAAGAAGATTTACAAACAGAAAAAAAATAGTGAGGTGCAAACAGAAAATGGAAGTGAGGTACAGAAACAACTGGATTGGTTATAGCTTGGTGTTTGCCTTATTTGAACATGGTTCAAACAGCTGGCTACTTATGATTGGCCAAAACTCAGTGATTGGCACAGGTGTGGTCTATGGTGTGCTTACACCTCCATTTGCTATAGTTCACAGTGCACAGAAAATAATTTAGGCTGGACTTAAAATATGTAAGGAGGTAACTTTAAGCTAAACATTATTTAACAATGTAAAAGGCCTTTATATATTTTATCTTTTTAGATCCTGTTTTGGGGATTTTTTTTTTTAATTGACTGAAACTTTTTAAAAATTATGTGCGTGGTCACTTTGTTCACTTTCTTTCTTGAAAATTGTTCTCTTATTAATATTTATTCTTACTTCACCTATTTATGTTTCCTTTTTTACCATTCTTTAGTCTCTTTTGCATTGCATTATCTTGTCTTTTTAGCTTTTCGGGGGGGTACCAGAAATTACTTTGTATTATTAAAAAACTTGAACTTGGTATGTATAATGGCATTATAAGCAGTGATCCAGTTATAAGATAGAGACTAAATTGAAAACAACCTATGTGAATTAAATTGGTCTTTTTATAAATCTTATGGTAAATTTCTACAATTTTGTGTTACCTTGGAGTCCACTTTGAAATCATCCTATAACCCATCCAAACTTTTTACAAAGGCTTAAATTCTGTCTCTTTACATGCTTTGAGGTGTACATTTTCTACCTTGTTTCATCTAAGAGTTGTGCTTTAAAAACACAAAAATTAGGATTGCCTAGCTAATAATCGTAGGGCAGTAAAACAAGTAATGAAAAGAGCAAATAAAAAAACTATTTAAAATTGACAAATAAAGAATATTATAAATCTGTAACACCTGCTTCTGTCTGTGTGTTTTCATGTCTATGTGTTTATACATGTCATGTATATGTGATGCTTCACTATCAGAATACACGAAAGAGCTCTAATTTATTGGCTCAAAGAAAAAAGTAGGTACTTAAATCAAATATTTTACCAAAAAATAGAAACTTTAACTCAAATGCCTTTTAGTTCATGCGACTTTAGTAAACTTTGGTGAATAAAGATTGTTTTAAAATTATTGGTAAAATAAAAATAAATGTCTTCAAAATTTAATGTAGACATTTGGCCTGAATTGGTCAGGCAGGTCAGATACTGTTTTGCTATTTTAAGGTCATAAACTGCTTTTGTGACATTTTTGAAAATTCTTTAACTTGTCCATCTAAGAGCCATTACATTCTAGGATCTACACAAATTGTCATAGAAATGCCTGGGGACATATGGAGTTGTCCCTGGCCTATTTGTGACTCCTGTCTATGCTGTGAAGGGTCAGTATTACCTGCAGTTCTGTCTTTTGTCCTGTGCTCTGCATGTGATATATAAATACAATTTCTTACCTCTTAGGTTTTTCACTAAAAATAAGAATTACTAACAGTTAACATTATAACAAATAAATGCAATTAAAACTACCAAACATAAGAGAAACAATTATGTATCCAAAGCAAATAAAAAAAGTAAGATGTGTTTTCGGTAAAAAGTTTATGAAAATGCATGGGAATATGTTTTTTTTTTAAAGGAAAGAAAAGAGGCTTTTTAAAGGATTATTTTTTAATTGAAGAAATAAAAGAATGATGGTTAAAACTGAATGGATATAGAAAGTTAGTAAAGAAAGAATTGGAAAAATTGTAAAAGCTTATAAAGGTTTATGAGAATCTTACCTTGTGTTCAAACTGATATTGGAAGGATTTGTTTATAAGATTTTATTAAAACTAGGATTAGCATTAACACACTAATGAAAAGGTAGAATATGGTTTTTCCCGTTTGAACAAAATCTTTGTGTAATATAAATAAGAGATAATAAAAAGTTTTGTGTACCTTTTCAGTAAACTGCAAAAACAAAATAAAGTGGAGCAGGGAGAAACAGATTCAGTTGGCTTCACACCATCTTGATCAGCTCTTATTTTTTGGGAAATTTTCTTCTCTCTATCAATAAATAAAGTTTTTTTTTCTTTTTAAATCTTTGAATTACCATTTTGGCTCAGTGAGTGACTTATTTTACAGTAACATGTAACCCAATTTTTTGATATCAAGTGTTTTAAACCTCTGATATTATAATTTTTAAATCAAAATTTCAACTTTTATACTGTCTTTTGACCTCAAATTATTTGCTTTTGGATATTAGTGTTCCTGAAGTCCAGGAGAGACATATCTGCTTATTTAATATGTTAAATCATTCAGGAAGCATTGTCAAACATGAAATGGAGTTTAACTTTCTGTGAATTATATTTACATAAATGTGTAAGTAATGTCTGTTACAAAATTGTACAAAATCCCTAAAATTCTTATGCCTTAGTATACGTTATAAGTAATAATTACGATTATTATGTTAAATTGCTTTGTGCCATAGAAATAGCCAAATTTCCTTTTCGATTGTGTCTTTAACTATAACTGTTCTAAGACTTTTATCATCAACCAACAATTATTGTTTTACTCTTATTTTTCCCCCCCAGAAAAGTGGTTTATGATTAGCTACAGCCCAAAACTTGCTTCTTTAGGGGAATTCATGAAAAAGACTCTGATAGGTGCTCTTGAAGGCAGGTTTCTGATAACTTTGGATATTGTGCCACTAGATTAGAGAGAAAACTTGCAATAATCTCATTGCAATGCTGATGTGTGCATGACTCTTGGCCCAATGTTGAGTAACACAGGAGTTAATTGCATGGACTGAACTAATAGAAAATGGAAATAATATTTTTTAATTCTCCAGTCCGGACTTCTGATTAAATCATTTTTATAACATTTTTGTTTGAAACATTGTTGATTCTTTTTCTGTTTCAGATATAAGAAAACTTTTTTCTTTGAAATATTTGGAGATTTTAACAATTGAGTAAAGTATGCTACTGTGAGCCAAATCTGAATCCTATTTTTTACCTGATTTCTCCAGAATTTTAAAACTATTTATGAGTATTTTTTAATTTATGTCAATATAGTTATTTACATAAGTTTAACAAGAATCTGTTTGTGTGTGTGTGTGTGTGTGCAGGAAACCATTGGAAACCCTGGTTATTTTACCAAGACTTTGACCAGAATGGCATAGTTTCAGTTCTGACTGTCTTGAGAAATTGAGATTGACTTTACAGAGCTGATAAAAGTCCTTTAGAAGGGTTGGCCTTGTACCTTGTCTACACATTTCCTCGACAGGTTTCCTGAAATAGATAGAAAAATATTCTAAGTTCATGAATAAGAAAAATTAATATTGCTAAAATGTCCATAATACCCACAGTGATCTACAGATTCAATGTAACCTCTATAGAATTTTTAATGTAACTTTTTAAAGAAATAGAAAAACCAGTTTTAAAATTTATATGAACACAGGAAAAACCCTAAATAGCCAAGGAAATTTTGAGCAAAAAGGACAAAGACAGAGCTATCACACTACCTGATTTAAAACTATATTACAAAGTCATTTTACTTAAAACAGAACGGTAGTGGCATCAAAATAAATATATTAACCAATGTGACAAAATAGAGAGTTCAGAAAAAACTCACACATTTATGGTAAACTGCTTTTCAGTAAAGGTGCCAAAAATACAAAATGGAAAAAGGAGAAATCTGGGTATCTACAAGTAGAACAAGGAGATTGGATCCTTATCACACACTATATGCAAAAATCAACTCAAAATGAATTAAAGACTTAAAGTTAGACATGAATATAGAAAATTACTAGAAGAAAACATAAAGAAAAATGACATAATATTAGTTTGGGCAATAATATTTTTAGGTTTGATTCCAAAAGCTCAGGCAATTAAAACAAAAATAGACAGATGTGATTAAACCAAATGTTTAAACAATAATTAACATCAATCTTTCTCAAAGTTTTCCAAATAATAGAAGAAAAATATTTTCTAACTTATTGTGAGAGGCCAGTATTATTAGCCTGATACCATAGCCAGATGAAAATTTCACAAGAGAAAACCAAAACGAAACCCAAACTACAGACCATATGCCTTATTACTATAAACACAAAAATCTGTAAAAAAAAGAAAAAAAAAGCAGTAAAACAAAATACGGCAACATAAAGAAAAGATTATATACACCTATAAAAAGTGATATTTTTCCCAGGAATGCAAAACTGTGCCAATATATGAAAAAAATAATAAACATATTTCTCCATATCACAAAATAAAGACCAAAACTCACATGATCATATCAATAGATGCAGAAAAAGCGTTTGGCACAATACAACACTTCTTCAGAATAAAAGCAATCAACAAACTATAATAGAAGAAAACTTCTTTGAATTAATAAAGTTTATCTACAAAAAACATACAGCAAACATCACATTTACTAGTGCAAGTGAATTATCTTATTTTTTCTATAATCAGGAAAAAGAGTGATGTACACTGTCTTCACTTCTATTCAGCATTATACTGGAAGGTCTAGACAGGGCAATCAGTAAAGAATATAAAATAAAAGGCAGTCATCATCTTGCCTATAGAAAATCCTAAGGAATTTACACAAACACAGACACACAAAAGAAATTATTAGAACTAATAAATGAGGTCAGCAAATTTAGTATAAAATATAAATATATAGAAATCAATTATATTTTTATATACTAGCAATGAGCAATTCAAAAAATATTAAGAAAATATATTTATTTACAGTAGCATCAAAAAGAATACAATGCTTTAGCATTAATTTAACAAAATAAGTGTAAAACTTGAACTCTGAAAGTTACATAACACTGTAGAAATAATTTAAAGGTCAAAATATTTGAAAATACATGTCATATTATAAATTGGAAGATTTAATATTCTTAAAATAACAATAGTTACTAAAATGATCAATGTATTCAATGCAAACCCCATCAAAATTTCTTCTGACTTCGCAAAAATTGCTAAACTTGTCCTAAACTTCTTATATAAATGCAAACAATTCAGGCTATTCAAAACAATTTTGATAAAGAAGAACAAAGTTGGAGGACTCACATTTCTTGATTTCATGTCTACTACAAAGCTACAGCAATCAAAGCAGTGTGGTACTGGCAAAGATCGATTATATATTGATTATATATAGATTAATAAAATAAAAATAATAAGAAAAAACTGTGACATTTATTGTGACTTGATTGTTGGCAAGGGTGACAAAATAATTCTATGTAGAGAAAATATTCTTTTATCAAATGATACTGGGTAAATTCTATATCTAGAAAAAGAATAAAGTTGCAATCCTATCTCATAAGAAAAAAAAAAGTTGGCTCAAAATATACCATGTTCTTAAATACAAGAGCTGAAATAACAAAAATATTACATTGACATATAAGCATATCTTTTTTACCTTAGATGAGGCAATAACTTCTGAAATATGACACCCATAGAACAAGCAGCAACAACAACAACAACAACAAAAACAAATAACATATTGACTTTATTTAATTTTTTTTTAAATTTGTCCTGCAAAGACACCATCAGGGCAGTGAAAAACAACCCACAGAAGGAAAAATTTACTTCTGATTAAGTACATGTATCTAGAATGTACTCTTGAAACCAAAAAACAAAGAGATGAATAAACACAATTAAAAATAGGCAAAATATTTGAATAAACATTTATCTGATAAAGGTATTAAATAGTAATTAAGCTCATGAGAAAGTGTTCAACATTATTAGTCATCAGGGCAATTAAAATTAAAACCACAATGAAATATTACTTCACTCCCCAATAAGATGGTTGTAATAAAAAAGATAGACAATGACAAGAATTGTCCTTAATATGACAAAAGTGGAGCCCTCATATATTGCTGGTAATGTAAAATGGTACAGCTGCTTTCGAAAACAGTTTACAGTTTCTTACAAAGTTAAACTTAGGGTTACCACACAACCCAGAAATTTCACTCTTAGGTATATGCCCAAAATAATTAAAAACATATGTCACAAAAAACTTATAAATTGATGTTTATAGCAGCATTATTCATGATAGCTAAAAGGTGAGAACATTGCAAATTCCAATCAAATGGTGAATGAAGAAATAAATATGGTATATTCATACAATGGAATATTATTCAGCCACAAAAAGAAATGATACATGCTGTAATATAGGTGAACCTTGAAAACATTGGACTAAGTTATAGAAACCAGACACAAAAGGACACTTGTATGATTCCCTTTTGTGATGGTTAATACTGAGTGTCAACTTGATTGGATTGAAGTATACAAAGTATTGATCCTGGGTGTGTCTGTGAGGGTGTTGTCAAAGGAGATTAACATTGAGTCAGTAACCTGGGAAAGGCAGACCCACCCTTAATCTGGGTGGGCACAATCTAATCAGCTGCCAGCACAGCTAGAATATAAGCAGACAGAAAAATGTGAAAAGAGAGACTAGCCTGGCTTCCCAGCCTACATCTTCCTCCTGTGATGGATACTTCCTGCCCTCAAACATGGGACTCCAAGTTCTTCAGTTATGGAACTCGGACTGGCTCTCCTTGCTCTTCAGCCTGCACATGACCTATTATGGGACTTTGTGATTGTGTGAGTTAATACTTAATAAACTCCCCTTTATATATATATATATATACATACACACATATATATACATATATATTCATATGTATATATCATATATATTTATAGTTATCTTGTAACTGATGTAAAGTCCATAAGCAATAATAACAAAACTATATATATCTATATACCAATACATTCCATTCTTTCTGTCCCTCTAGAGAACCCTGACTAATACAGATTTTGGTACCAGGAAGTGGTTCTAGAAAAACAGAATATTAAGGATGGAGTTATTTTCTTGGTTTTGGGGCTTCTGGAGTTGGCTGTTTAATATGATTAGACCCAGGAATGCTAAGGACTCTATTTCTGATAATATGGAGAACACTGATAGTCTTTGGCCTGAACTGTTTAGAGAGTTATGCAAAATAAAAGCATATGACACCTGTAATCCCAGCACTTTGGGAGGTGGAGGCGGGCAGATCACTTGAGGTCAGTAGTTCAGACCAGCCTGGCCAACATGGCAAAACCCTGTTCTACTAAAAATACAAAAACATTAGGTGGGCATGGTGGCGCACACACCTGTGATCCAAGCTACTCGGGAAGCTGAGGCAGGAAAATTGCTTGAACCTGGGAGGCAAAGGTTGCAGTGAGCCAAGATGGCACCATTGTACTCCAGCCTGGGTGATAGAGCGAGACTCTGTCTCAAAAATAAAAGTCTTTAATCCAAATAAAAGCAATACAAAACAATATGGCTCTTATCACAATACTAATTGAATTTCATAATATACAAAATATTTTTACACTATAGCTCCTTTTTCTGTCTTTCTCCTTTTGTACTATCTTTGCCTTGTAAATTACAACTTCATAGCTTATTAGCTCATCAAAACAGTTTTATAATTGTTGCTCTATGCACTTTACATCAGTTACAAGAAAAAAATATACAATAAAAATACATTTATGCTACGTTAAATTTATTAAGTTGGTGCAACTTTTAATGGCAACAACCGCAATTACTTTTGCACCAAACTAATACCTGTGTACTTACCAACACCAGTCTATTTACTCCTGGGGATTTTAGTTTTTGTCTATTGTCCTTTCATTTCAATCTGAAAGCTTCCATTTAATATTTATTTTAGACAGGTTTGCAAAACATAAATTCTCTGTTGTTTATTTTAAATCTAGAAATATCTTCAGTTCTCCCTCAATTTTGAAGTATAGTTTGCTTTACAAAAAAAAAATCTGGTTGATAGTCTTTTTCTTACAGCACATTGAATATTTCATTCCTCTCTGTCTTTTGCCCTCCATGATTTTTGATGAGAAGTCAAATGTTAATCTTATGAGGTTCTTTTGTCTATGATAAGTGAGTTTTATCTTGCTGCTTTTAAGATTCTATATTTGTCTTTGGCTTATGATAATTTACTGTAATGTATCCAGATGTGAATGGTTTTCTGTTTATCTAATTGCAGTTTTTTTGAGCTTTTTGGATGTGAACATTAATATTTCATTTTTGGCAAAAATTTTTGGTCATTATTTCTTCAAATATTTTTCTTAGTGTTTTCTCTATCCTGTCCATCAGATTTCCATGTTGCATACTTTGATATACTTATTTGTGGCCCACATGTCTCTAGGGTTCTGTTTCTTTTTTGTTTGTTTGTTGTCTTTCTGTTTCTTAGACTGGATAATCTCAATTGACTAGTTTTCAAGTTTGATGATTCTGTCTTTTTCAGTTGAAATCCATTGTTGAGCCACTTCAGTGATTTATTTTTCATTTCAATGTTTGTACTATTCAACACCAGCATATTTATTTTGTGCTTTTATACAATTATTATTTCCTTATTGATATTCTTTATTTAATATAATACCATTGATCTACTCTCTTTTGCCATCATTTTCTTTTTACATTTTTTATACTTATATTAGGTCAACTAAATTTAATAAGTCCAATATCTGGACTTTTTCAGTACCAGTTTCTATTAACTTTTATATTTCCTGCATAGATATCTTATTTTCCTATTTATTTGTATATCTCATATTTTTTGTTGAAAACTGGATATTTCAAATAATATAAATTGACAAATATTAAAATTATGTTCCCCTACCTCCTTTGAAGTTGTTTTTGTTTTCTTTATTTTTTATATAGTTGCGGTTAATTTTGTGGCATTCCTGTACCAATTCTGTTAAGTTTGTATTCCTTGTTATGTGTTTCCACCAAAGTTTTTCTCTGTTTAGCTTTCTGATCAGCTAATGGTTGAACAGAGGTTTCCTTAAATGACTTGAACCAATATATCATCCAAACTGCTGAGAGTTTCTCTCCATGTGGCAGGACATGCCTTTAATACTTTGGCAGGCAGTTTACAACTCTGCCTTAGTCTGCATTTCTGGTTTGCCTAAAACCTCAAGGTCAAGTATAGGTTAAATATGTTAACTTTCTCAGTATTTTTCTGGACATGTGCACAGCTCTTCAATGTGCATAGAATTATACATCCCCAGGAATATGTTGGAGCTTTCAAAAGTTCTCTATGGGCAACTTATATCCCAACTTTTTCCTGTTAGATTTTTAGTCAGCCTTGAGATAGCCCCAGTTTATTTATTTATTTATTTATGTATTTATTTAATTTTTCTCTCTTTTTATATATTTTAGCATAGTTTAAGTTCTGGGATACATGTGCAGAACGTGCAGGTTTGTTACATAGGTATACATGTGCCATGGTGGTTTGCTGCATCCACCAACCCATAATCTACATTAGGTTTTTCTCTTAATGCTATCTCTCCCCCAGCCCCCCACCCCCTGACAGGCCCTGGTGTGTGATGTTCCCCTCCCTGTGTCCATGTGTTCTCATTGTTCAACTCCCACTTATGAGTGAAAACATGTGGTGTTTGGTTTTCTGTTCCTGTGTTAGTTTGCTGAGAATTATGGTTTCCAGCTTCATCCATGTCCCTGCAAAGGACATGAACTCATCCTTTTTTTATGGCTGCATAGTATTCCATGGTGTATATGTGCCACATTTTCTTTATCCACTCCATCATTAATGGGCATTTGAGTTGGTTCCAAGTCTTTGCCAGAGCTGCAATAAATATACATGTGCATGTGTCTTTATAGTAGAATGGATTATAATTCCTTGGGTATATACCCAGTAATGGGATTGCTGGGTCAAATGGTATTTCTAGATCCTTGAGGAATTGCCACACTGTCTTCCACAATGGTTGAACTAATTTATACTCTCACCAACAGTGTAAAAGCATTCCTACTTCTCCACATCCTCTCCAGCATCTGTTGTTTCCTGACTTTTTAATGATCACTAAAACTCTCAATAAACTAGGTATTGATGGAACATATCTCAAAATAATAAGAGCTATTCATGACAAACCCACAGACAATATCATACTGAATGAGCAAAAGCTGGAAGCATTCCTTTTGAAAACTGGCACAAGACAAGGATGCCCTCTCTCAACACTCCTATTCAACATAGTGTTGGAAGTTCTGGCCAGGGCAATCAGACAAAAGAAAGAAATAAAGGGTATTCAAATTTTCTCTGTTTGCAGATGACATGATTGTATATTTAGAAAACTCCATTGTCTCAGCCCCAAATCTCCTTAAGCTGATAAGCAACTTCAGCAAAGTCTCAGGATACAAAATCAATGTGCAAAAATCACAAGTATTCCTATACACCACTAATAGACAGAGAGCCAAAGCATGAGTGAACTCCCATTCACAGTAGCCCCAGTTCTTAACATCACTTCATTCAGCTGTGACATTGAACAGTTTGGTTTAAAAACAAAAAATTCTGTGGTGACAGGGTGGTTCTCACAAAGTGTTCTCTGAGTAAGGTAAACTAAAGAAAATGCTTCAGAATGTAGCTTTTCATTGAGCGGCCAGATATGTCAAACAGTGACAGTTCTCTAGGGATGGGGTTTTTGGGGAGTGCCAAACACTTTCTGCCTCCTCTTGTGGCTGCTATGCTCTTGTTTTTCACAATTACCAAAGCTGTTCATTTTAGAAACTGCTGGAGAGCTCAGGAGAGAGAAATGTAAATAGAGTAAGTTAAAATGCCACAAAGCTCACTACTCTTACCAAGGTTCAGCTAATTCCTTGAATAAATGTTCCCCATTTCCGAATTTCTGAAAAAGTTGATTTTGGCAATTTTATAGTGTTCTAATTACTTTTATTAAGAAACACACTTTCAAAGCATTTACAGTGCCATCCCAGAAATGCTTCACTTCAATATAATTTTATATAAGTATTTTAGTTATAGTTTTTTATATCCTATATTTTATGATTTCAATTTCTGATATCATTGTGTAGTTAATTCTGTCGTATTTTTTCTGTTGCATCTCAATCATTGCAGCTTTTCATGTATTTGCTGATTTTTTTATTAGCTGATACATTTAAATTTAAAAAACTATTAGAATCATTCCTCACAGGTGATATTTATAAGGTCACAAATAAATGTATACCCTCTAACTTCTCCTTAGCCCATTCCTTTAGAGTTACTGCTTTTATGAGTCACTGCTACTTACTAAATTAGTAAGTTTTGGAAAAATATATTATAGAGAACCCTTGTGAAAATGAAAAAATGATTCATCTTCATTTCCCTGATGAAGCCTGGTCTTTTTTTATTTTTATTTATTTATTTATTTGAGACAGGTTCTCACTTTGTCACCCAGGCTGGACTGCAGTGGAGTGATGTCAGCTCACTCACTGCAGTCTCTGCCTCCTGGGCTCAAGTGAACCTCCCACCTCAGCCTCCTGAGCAGCTGGCATTACAGGTATAGGCTTCCATGCCCAGTGATGAAGCCTATTCTTTAATTCATTTTTTTCAATATCCTTTAGCATTAATCGAAGGAGCTGAGAACTACGTACATGTTCCTTGACATTGTTTACACCTGACAGCACTGATTTCTTTTTTTTGTTTGTTGGTTTGTTTAAGGTTTGTTATGTAGCACTTATTTCTTATAATCTCTTATTTAGACTAATGGTTATTATACATTGCTAATAATTATAATGTACTGAGCAACTTATGTTATTACAAATTTTATTACTACTGCTTCTCTTCCCTCCTGCCATAGTATTTCAGTGGGTTTGATGGGACTGGTCTTATTTGGCATTGCCTCTGAACTCAGGCTAACCTATAGAATCCAGAACAAGCCCCTGGTGTAGTGGATAGTGTCAGTACTTGTATGTTTTGGAAGATAGACTGTTAGTCTATGTCTGTCTCAGAGTGGGACCAGAGGCTCCAGAGATCGATCCTGTATTTATTTCTACACCTACTGAATGCATAGTTAAAATAAAAATACTTGTCAAAAAATAAATAAATCTACATTGGGTACCTGGTCAATCTAGTGAGCATTATTGTGGTAGAAAAGTCTAAGTGCAAGACCTTGCATCCAACCCTCCCTACTAACAGAGTTGACCAAAACAATGTCACATTGCTGAGTGAATCGCAGAGGTTAGTATCTTCATAAGAAACTTGGAAGATGCAGGTATAGTGATTCCCGTTTTAACTCAATTATTTCACATGTATGCAAGACCTCTGAATCTTATAATAGTATAACAAACCTGATCAAGTGTTGTGTACAATTGCTACTGGACCCTTACAGAAACGAAATTCTTGACCATGAATTTAATATGACCCTAAGAACCGAACTATCTATAATAAACTGGATGCCATTTGTTACACCAAACCATAAAGTTACTCATAATGAAGCTCCTGAAGGCACAAGAAAGCTACATGAACAAGTTGCTCAAACTCTCATTATAATACCTATCTTTGCTACATTGTCATATATTCCTTAACACACACCTATGGCTTCATGGGAAGTTCCTTAAAGCCAGTTAAGAAAGAATAAAAATATACAAGCTTGATTTAAAGATAGTTCTGCAGGCAAAACCAGCATCAGCTGAGTTGATTGCTGCAGTATTATGGGCCTTGTGAGGGTGACTCAGAAAGCCAAAGAGGATGAGAAATTTTCATAGTAAGCAGAACTTTGATCATTACATTTGATTGCTCAATTTTTGGAGCTGGAGAGATACATTCAGAAATATTACTACTTCATTGGCATTGTCTTATGGTTTGTCTGCGTTTCAAGAGGCTTGTAAAAAACAGATTGGAGAATTGGTGACAAGGAGGTTTGAGAAAGAGGTAGGATGATAGGAAGAGGATAATGATTTGAGAATGGATCCTGTTATGAGTTGAACTGTGTGATACCCAGATTCATATGTTGAAGTCTTAATTCCTAGTACCTAAAATATGACCTTATTTGGAAATGGGCTAATCAAGGAAAAGGGAGGTCATGGGGAGTTCCTAATCCAATGAGACTGATGTCCTTATTAAATGGGGAAATTTGTATACAGTTGTTCATAGAGAAAACACGATGTTAAGAGACATAAGGAGATGCCATCACAAGCCAATGAGAAAGGCCAGAAGCAGACACTTCCCTCTCAGCTCTTGTAAGGAAGCAACCCTAATGACAAGTTGATTTTGGACTTCCGGCCTTAATATCTGTAAGACAAAAAATTTATATTGTTTATGCTACCCAGTCTGTAGGACTTTGCAATGGTAGCCCCAGCAAACTGATATAGATTCTAGTAATGGGAAGTGTGATGCTTGTGTAACAAATACCTAACAATGTGGAAATGGCTTTAAACTGGATTACAGGCAGAGTGGTATCAAAATACCAGCTGAAAATATATTACATACATAAACTATCCTCTTTTTAATTTGAGAAAATTTCTTCTAATTTAAAATATACAACCTCTCTTAAAAACAATAGCCTATTCTGCTTACAGTTCTTTAGTTTGATATCACATTAAAGAAGATTCCTAAATTTTTTCTCCAAATTTGTTCTATAGTAACTGAATATTCATAAATGTATGCATGTAGGTGGCTTCCTTTTAAGAATGCACTGCTCATGAAAGTTTACTTCCAGCTAGGATGGTAATCTTTTGCATTCTTGTTGTTAATGTGTGTGCTTGAGTGTGTATTTGTCATAAATTAGTTTTCCTCAATCACCAGGATATTTTTTGGCTTCCGTAATTGTCATCTCAATTTGTAAGGAAACTTTTTATTTTTCTATTGTGTATTTGAAAACGTTTTATACTGACTAATGCATGTTATGTAGCATTAAGAAACCATGGTATAACCTTTGAAGATTTGTGAAACAATAATCCTGTATTTAAAAAATTCCTTTTAGCACATGTTAGTGTTATGAAAAGGTACACAAAAACTAATACGGTTTCCTGGCATGCTTCATGGCAGGGTTATACAACAGGGAGAGGAAAAGCTCAGAAGAGATCATAAGGAAATTGGAAATTTATGCAGCTTCTAAGAGAGGGCAAGTCGTGGTTTGAATTAATGTTGTACACATTATTGATTTTGATTAAAGAGAGAGGATTTTTTTATTGAGAGAACAGAATTAAATACAAATATTGAAGTTATTTGGACAAAAAATCTCATTGAAACTTTCAATAGCTGTGTCAATCTACGTCTTTTTTGTCAACGTATGTATTTTTAAAATTGCCTGTGTGACAAGAAAATAATCAAATTTTCTGAACTTGGTTCTTACTACTTTAAAAATAATTTAGATATGTAACCCTTTAATGGTCATATTTCGATCTTTGGTCTGTCACTTAATATTGTATTGTATTTTCTAATCTATAGCTAATAAGAATAGGATATTGTAAATTCCAATTAAAATATATTAACCAGGTGAAGTGTGGTGGCTCATATCTGTAATTCCAGCACTTTGAGAGGCTGAGATGGGAGGATCACTTGAACCTAGGAGTTCTAGACCATCCAGGCCAACATACGGCAAAACTGCCTCTCTACAAAAAGTAAATAAATAAGTAAAAATTAGGCAGGTATGGTCATTTGCACCTGTAGTCCTAGCTACTCAGGTGCACACCACCAAGCCTAATTTTAATTTTTTTAATTTTTTTAATTTTTTTGAAATGGAGTCTCACTCTCTCACCCAGGCTGGAGTGCAATGGAACAATCTTGGCTCACTGCAGCCTCCACCTCCCAAGTTCAAGCGATTTTACTGCCTCAGCCTCCAGAGTAGCTGGGATTATAGGTGTGTGACACCACACCTAGCTAATTTTTTTTGTATTTTTAGTAAAGACAGGGTTTCGCCATGTTGGCCAGGCTGGTCTCAAACTGCTGACCTCAAGTGATATGCCTGCCTCTACCTCTCAAAGTGCTGGGACTACAGGCAAGAGTCACTGCGCCTGGCCACTAATTTTTTGTGTGTATGTGGAGAGGCCGTTTTGCCACTCAGGAGGCTGAAATGGGAGGATCTTTTGAGCCCAGGAACTTGAGGCTGTGGTGAGCCATGATTGCACCAGTACACTCCAGCCTGGGTGACAGAGAGACACTGTGCTGAATAAAAAATAAAATAAAATAAAATAAACAAGTAAAAATATTGTTCAGCATTCTACAATTGAGGTTGTTCCATTTAGGACTATATGTGCTATATGCAGACAGGTTTACATTTTTAAATATACAAATATTTTAGCTAGTGCTTTTTGAACTTTTTCACTAAAGGGCAATGTATTTTTGAATAATAATTTTAAATAGTTTTAGAGAAAAAGAGCTTGATTAGTTCATCCATTGATCACAAAATATCCACTGGCAGTGTACTTTACGTGTAATGTTTTGCTTTGTTTTATATTTCCATACTGTATAAAAGAACAATAAGGTATTATGGAAAACTTAAAAACAAATGATTCATAATAAAAAATTAAAACTTTCAGATGGATTAGAAGTTCTTGAAAATGAAGTTCCAAAACGGAATTCTGTCATTTTGACAAAAAAGTAGAAAATATGATAGGGAAGATAAGAGCCTAAAAAATATTTTCAGTAATTACAATATTTGACAACTGAGCTTTAGAAAAAGAAAGTGGGAAACACAATGGAAGTAGTTATGAAAACAGTAACAGATGTGGGCCCTCTAATTTGAAGGATGTCCTGGTGGCTCCGAGTGAAAAAGACCACTGGAGAGAAATAAGCAGGTTGGGTAAAAGAAAAACAAAAATACTAATGCATATACAAATTATAAAATTGTAAAATTATAAAATTGTAAAATTATAAAATTGTCTAAGACTAAGGCATAAAAAGACAGTTCTAAAACTTCCAAGATTTACTGAGGAAGAGTATGTGTGTATGAACATACATTTAAAAGACTTACCTTACAGTGGAGCAATCTATTTTACACTGTGGTAATAAACTATGTCCAAGTCTCAGTAGCTTAACAAAACTACTGTTCATATTTCTCTCAAGCAAAGTCCACTGTAGTTTCTTAGATACTCTCCAGGGCAGTTGCCCTCAATGAAGTCACAGAAAATTTGGGGCAGCTGTGATCTTATAGCACTATCTTCTAAATTTGCAGTCTCCTATAATCTTTATAGCAGGCACAGAGAGCACAAATTGGCTCCTTCATGCTTCAGTTTGTAACTGACAGTTCATTTCTACTTACATTCTCTGAACCAGAACCTATATAGTTTCTGCATACTCCAAAGAAGTTGAGAATATGGGTGACCAAAAAGGATATTTGCAAAGTATTACCATTCCCTGCTTTCTGGGAGACTTATTTCATCATCCACTCTATCTAACTATTTTAAAACTTTTATAAAACAAAAACATTTTTTAAAATATCTGAGAGTCCTCTTTGAATTCTCTGATTGTTTCTCTTTAAAGCAACTTGTTCTTCTCTCTTATGGAGATTGGATTGCATGAATTTGGAACTGGAAAATTTATGAATGCCAGAATATCTACTTTTTTTCATGAAAAGCCAATTCTCACAATACCTGTCTTAGATTTTCTAACAGAATGATTCAATTTATCTTGGAATAAATATAATACACATGAAAAGTCTCTATATGGTGAACTGTAGAACTTTTCTAAATATATAAAAGAACACATGAAAGCCAATTCTCACAATACCTGCCTTAGATTTTCTAACAGAATAATTCAACTTATCTTGGAATAAATATAATACACATGAAAAGTCTGTAGATAGTGAACTGTAGAACTGTTCTAAGTATATAAAAGAACACCTAAATAAATGGAAAGACCATATATCTAGATTGAAAGATTAAATGTAGTCAATGTATCAATTCTCCCAAAATGAAAAGAAATAATTCAGTATAATTCAAATTTAAATTCTGCCATGTTTTTTAAAAAACATAAAAAGTCAATTCTAAAATATATTTCAAAAGAAAAATCACAATATTAGCTAAGAAAACCAAAGAGAAAAAATAATTGGGTTATTTGTATCTGAAATGATGTTTCATGGTACTTTAAATTTGCAATTCTCTAATAGATGAGAATAATTGTATTTTCATAAGTTTATTGAATATTGGATTATCCTTTTCCTTTAATTTTCTGCTCATCTGACCATGTTGATTATATATGTATTAATTTTACTTAAATATAATGTAAATATATATTTATTGATTACATTGTATATTTATTTTATTTTATTATATCTTGTTCTCATATTTTTTATTTAATTTCTTTAGATATAGTTTAATACTTCTTTTGGTAAATTTTTTTAATTGATCAATTAAACTTTATTAAGAATTTATGCTCATCAAAAAATACTAAGAGAATAAATAATGAAGCCATAGGGTGGGAGAAGGAATTGTAATGCGTATATCTACTAAAGAATTCACATTTTTAATATACAATAGGCATATTGATTAGGAAAACATAGACAACTCAATAAATGGCAAAAACTTGAACAGATATTTCACAAAGATGTCCAAGTGGACAGTGAGCATAAGAATAGGCCCTCAGTATCAAATCTTCAGGACATTGCAAATTAAGTTCTATCTAAAAAATACAACATCAACACTCCTACAATGTCTAAAATAGAATAATAGATAACTGATTTTTGAAGTGGATACTGGGTCACTAATTTCTCACATTTCCCTCTTTTTTATTATATGTATTTAAAGCTGCAAGATTTTCCTCTAAACTGGTCTTAGATGGATCTTACAACTCTTCATGTCATTCAGTAGCAAACATAGTCTAATTTATATTATTGCTTTTGTCTCTCAGCACTTAAGATTCTTTCCTTCATCTTGACTTTAGATAACCTGTTGACTATGTGCCTAGGAGATGATATTTTTGTGATAAATTTCCCAGGAATTATTTGAGCTTCCTGTGTTTGGCTGTCTAGACCTCTTGAAGGCCAGGGGAGTTTTCCTCAAGTATTTCCTCAAATAAGTTTTTCAAACTTTGAGATTTCTCCTCTTTTTCCTCAGGAACACCAATTATTCTTAGTTTCGGACATTTAACATAATCCCAAACCTCTTGGAGACATTGTTCTTGTTCTTTTTTCTTTGTCTTTGTCGAATTAGGAGAATTCAAAAGCCTGTCTTCAAGCTCCTTTTTCTACTTGTTCCACTCAATGATTTAAACTTTCTACTGCATTTTGTATTTCTGTAAGTATATCTTTTATTTCCAAGAATTGTGATTTTTTTATAACATCTATTTCCATGGAGAAGTTCTCATCCATATTCTGTTTTTTGTTTGTTTGTTTGTTTAAGTTTTCACCTTTCTCTGGTATCTCCTTGAGTAGCTTAATAACCAACCTTCTGAATTCTTTATCTGGCAATTCAGATTTCTTCTTGGTTTGGAACAATTGCAGGGGAGCTAGTGTGATATGTTGGAGGTGTTATAGAACACTGTTTTGTGATATTACCAGAATTACTTTTCTGTTTCTTCTCATTTGGGTAGACTATTTCTTATAATTGTTCTTGAATTTATTTTTGATCAGACTATGGTTTTTGTGATGTTGTTGTTTTTTCCTCTTTTTTTTTTTTTTTTATTTTGAGAGGGAGTCTGGCTCTGTCACCCAGGCTGGAGTGCAATGGCGCCATCTAGGCTCACTGCAAGCTCTGCCTCCTGGGTTCATGCCATTCTCCTGCCTCAGCCTCCCAGTAGCTGGGACTACAGGCGTCCACCAGCACGCCCGGCTAATTTTTTTGTATTTTTAGTACAGACAGAGTTTCACAGTGTTAACCAGGATGGTCTCGATCTCCTGACCTCATGATCCGCCCACCTCGGCCTCCCAAAGTGCTGGGATTACAGGCGTGAGCCACCGCGCCCGGCCCTGTTTTTCCCTCTTAAGAATCAGGTTTTAATGTCTATTTTAGCTTAATTTGATTCTTAGTGCTTGTAGACATGAAGATTCTTTTGTCCCATGGGGTAATCCCTTGATATGGTACTCCCCTGTTTCCCCTAGTTATGGGGGCTTCCTGAGAGCGAGACTACTGTGATTGGTTGTTATTGCTCTTCTGAGTCTAGCTACCCAGCAGTGCCACCAGGCTCCAGCAGGTGTTGGGTAATGGCTGCAAAGAGTCCTGTGATGTGGTGTGTCTTCAGGTTTCTCAGCTGTGAATACCAGGACCTGATCTGGTGGTAGTAGCAGGGGAGTGAAATAGATTCCATGAGAATTTTTTATTGTAGATACATTTAGTGTGCTGGCTTTCTCAAATGCTGGTTATGTTAGCAGTCAGTGAAGTTGTCACATGGACAGACTCAGGGCTGCTTGTTAGCCAGTATGTTTCAGGCGTGGTATTAATGGTCATTTTCTCCTTCCTTGGAGCAGGGTTGTTTTGTCATGAGTTGCTGTAAAGGCCTGAGTTGGTTGCCTCCAGCCAAACAGTGGCAGTTGTAACAGAGCACCAGCTGTGGTGGGATATAAGCTTCCCCTAAGTTGGCCAGGGGAGGTATTCTGGTTACTTAGGCAATGGGTAGGGTCATAAAGCAACCAAGACTGTATGTCTTTTGTGTTTGGCTACCAGGGCTGGTAGAAAAATACCATCAGGTTGGGGCAAGATTAAGTGGGTCTGGTCTCAAACTCTCCTTTGCCGGGGCTTGCTGTGCCCACCGTGGGGGATGGGGGTGGTTCTCAGGCCAATGAAGTTATGTCCTAGAGGGGAGTATGGCTGCCTCTGCTTAGCAATATTGTTTGTCAGGGAAGTGGGAGCTAGTCAGTAGCAAAGACTTCACCCACCTCCCATGCAGTTGGCAGGGCCAGTCTGGCTTCCACAGTGCCCTGGTCTCCACTAAAACTGCTGGGTTTAAATCCAGACAGCTTGCTGATGCAGAACTCAGACCTTTTCCCAGGCCTAAGCTACTGAACTGATCAAGCAAGCTCAGCTTTCCAGTCTTGCCCCTAACTGCCTGGCCACAGTATTGGCTGTGGCTCTTGTCCTCGTATGTGTCGCAGTTCTTGTTTTCCCCCCATATTCTGCTCAAAAAGGTTAGTTCCCAGTCAAAATCATTGCAAAATTCAGTTGGAAGCTTCTGACACCTTGTGACCCCTCCGTAATTTTGCTGGATGCCTTTCCTGAGGGCCTCTGTGAGATGTAGTCAAAGATGGCTTCCCTGTGCTCCAGCTGGAGAATGGGAGTACCCATAAGGCTCTTCCCACTGTTGCTTTTACTTTTATATTTTCCATGGCTCCCTAAATCCATTCCAGCTCTAGGTAAGGTTAAATCCTTCTCCTGTGATCTGTATTTTTAGATTCCCCAGTGGGAAGGTGTGTTTGGAAGCAGGTTTTTCCTCTCTCACACTTTGAGAACTCACAGTTTTTTGCCTATCTCATGCCACTTCTTTCAAAGGATCTGTGAATTCTTTCTGTTTTCCTGGTACAGTCCTGCAATGGTTCTTGCAGCAAAAATTTGCAGTGTGAGTCTTCACGCACTGTTCTGTCAGTCCAAATGGGAGCTGCATGTTAGCCCTGTCTTCTGTCTGCCGTCTTCCCCCACCTCTGCATGTATTTTAATTCTATGTAAATTAAAAATACTACAAGAAATGATAAATGTTGTCCTGTATGCTAATATTTGTTATAATTTATCCATGAATTTTCCCTAATTTTTTTTTTCTAAATTGGTGTGCCTTTTCTCTAGCATCATTTTGCTTCTGTATAAACTCATTAATATCCTTTTTAATATGATTCTATAATCTACAACTCTTTTTCCTTTCAATTTATGAATCTAAAACCATTTTATAGCCCTTCACCTTTTAAGAATATTTATACTGACTGTATAGTTAATACTTAGCAGTATTTTCCAACATTTTACATGCCTTTATCTTCCAGGTTCCAAATTTCAGTTAAAGCATTAACCGTCTGTCTCACTGTTACCTCTGTGAATATAAAGTATCTTTTTCCAGGATGCTTTATATATGTTTCTTTTTCTCACTGTTTTTCAACACAATAACTTTGATTGTGACTGGGTATTGTTATTGAAGTTATTTTGCTTGGAGCTTCTTGGGTTTCATAAATATGTGGTGTGATGTTTCATGCCACTTTTGGAATATTATCTCATCAAATACTATTTTTGTAATAATACTTGTGTTAGTCTTTTCTATCATGATATTCGTGTACACTTTTGTCTGTGTTCTCTTTTTTTCTCTCCCTGCTTTAGTCTCTATAGTTTCCACTATTTCTTCAACTCAATAGTCTTCACTTCAACTTTACCCACTTTACTCTTCTTTTAAACAGTTTTATTGAAGTATAATCAATATATAAACAACTGCACATATTTAATGCATACATGTGGATAGATTTAGACATATGCAAACACCCATGATACCACTAACACAATCAAGGTAATAAACTAAATCTACTCCTAAATACATACATTGAGATCTGAATTTCAGTTGTTGTGTTTTTGTTTCTCTTTTATGCTTTTCACTTCTTGTTTTTACATTCAGTTCCTCTATTATTAATGCTATTAATTTTCTTGAAAATAATAATTATAGTTATTTTAGAGTTTCTATCTAATAAATTTAATACCTGAGGCACTTTTGGATCAATTATATTGTCATCATCCATCTTGTTTCTTGAAATATACATACATTTTTATTTGAATATTGTATAATATTTTGAAAAAATTGAGGATCTGGTATATTACTATCTAGCTCTAGAAAAAAATTAGACTTTTATTTTTGCAGGCATGATTAAGATAATTAAAGAAAAGTCTCTTTATTCAATCAGGAATTCAGGTAATTTTACTCTGGATCTCAATCACTGTGCATTCTTCTTTACTTCTAGTCTGCCATTAACACAAGAAAAATCCCATTAAGTGTCAATTGAAGACTTGTTCTGTGTGCCACGTTCCCAACAATAATAATGTTGAAAATTTTAATTATTATCTCATTTTGTAGAAGCAACTTTCCAGTTAGCTAATCAACCTCTCCTCCTCAGGCTTCTTACAAACGAATAATATCTAAAGTAGATACCTGAGGCCTCATCATTGTCCCCTTATTAGTGTGGGACATATGGAGACTGGGCAGTGTAGTTTTAAACCAGTTCCAGTTTATACTGTGTTCACTGGATCCATGGTCCAATCTAGTGTTTATTTTCCTTAGTCTTCAAATACATAATTAGAATGAATATACTTGGTAGTTAACAGAAACCTTATTTTGGGTTTTTGAAATATATGTAAGAACTATTATAATAAAAAGATTAAGTGAAAATTTCTAACAACCTTTACCTCAGCCAAAATAATAAATAGTAAACAATATCACATAAAAGAGGTTAATAGGTTAGTGCCATGTTTAAACACATTATGAACATAGAAATTGTATTCATTGTTATATACCCATTTAGTTTACCAGTTTGGCTCTTATGGAAATTAGATGAAATTTGGCAGATCATAGTGAATTAGCACAAACTCAAATAGAAATTCATTCCCTTTGCAGCTGCTATGTTATATGTATATTTACTAGGGAAGATCCTCAGAGCTACGGACACATGACATTTAGCTTTTAATCTGGCATAAACAAATGTCCTTTTCCTTCCACAAAAGAAGAAAGATCAAAAGCAGAAGAATAATATTCATATAGAATGAAAAGACAACACATAATTATGCACTTGCTTTAGGTTTTTTAAAAATATTTGTTACATGCTGATGATGGTGGGATACAACACAATGACCATCTGGAGAGAAGAAAGGCAGAATTCCTTCTTACTTAAAGTTCCAAAAAAGAGAAGGCTGCCATGCAGGGCCACAAACTGAGTTACACTCAGGGAAAGAGTTACAGAGCTGGCACTATAGGAGATGGCCTATGTATGGCAAGCAATGAATAGTTAGCTAGGATTTGGGAGCTTTTTGTGGGTTAATTTTTTTTAAATAATTCTGTGAGCCTAATGAAAAAAAGACTGTATTAGTCCATTCACACATTGCTATAAAAAAACTATCTGAGACTGGGTAATTTATAAAGAAAAAATGTATAATTGATTGACAGTTTTGCAGGCTGTACAGGAGGCATGGCTGGGGAAGCCTCAGAAAACTTACAATCATGGCAGAAGGCAAAGAGGAAGCCAGCATGTCTTACATAGTCAGAGCAGGAGGAAGAGAACAAAGGGAGAAGTGATACAAGCTTTAAACAACCAGTCTTGTGAGAACTCTATTATGAGACAGCACTAGTGGGATGGTGCTAAACCATTATAAACCACCCACATGATCTAATAACCTCCCACCAGGCCCCACCTCCAACACTCGAGATCACAATTAAACATGAGATTTGTGTGGAGACACAGAGCCAAACCATATCGTTCTGCCTCTGGCCCTTCCCAAAGCGCATGTCCTTCTCATATTTCAATATACAATCATACCTTCACAACAGTCCCCCAAAGTCTTGCCTCATTCCAGCATTAAACCAAAAGCCCAAGTCCAAAGTCTTATCAGAGACATGGCAAGTCCCTTCTGCCTGTGAGCCTGTAAAATCAAAAACAAGTTAGTTACTTGCAAGATACAATGGGGGTAAATGAATTCGTTAAATGATCCCATTCTACATGGGAGAAATTGGCCAAAACAAAGGGGCTACAAGCCCCATGCAAGTCCATACCCAGCACAGCCATCATTAAACCATAAAGTTCCAAAATAATATCCTTCAACTCCATGTCCCACATCCAGGCCATGTTGATTCAAGGGGTGGGCTCCTATCACCTTGGGCAGCTCTACCCCTGTGGCTCTGAACAGTGCAGCCCTCACAGGTTCTTTCATGGTCTGGTGTTGAGTGCCTGCAGCATTTACAGGTGCACAGTGCAAGTGTTGGTTGATCTACCATTCTGGGGTCTGGAGAATAGTGGTCCTCTTCTCATGGCTCCACTAGGAAGTGCCTCAGTGGGGACACTGTGTGGGAGCTCCAATCCCACATTTCCCCCTCTGCACTGTCCTAGTAGAGGTTCTCCATGAGGGCTTCACCCCTGTAACACACATCTGCCTGAACATCCAAGCATTTTCATACACCCTCTAGGTAAGGGCTCCAAATCTAGGTAAGGGCTCCAAAACCTCAACTCCTGCCTTCTATGCACCTCCAGGCCCAACACCATGTGGAAGCTGCCAAGTTGGAGCTTGCACTTTCTGAAGCAACAACCCAAGCTGTACCTTGGTCCATTTTAGCCACAGCTAGAGCTGCAGTGGCTGGGAGGAAGGATGCCATTTCTTGAGGCTGCACAGAGCAGTGAGACGCTGGGCCTGGCCCACAAAACTATTTTTTCCTCCTAGTCCTCTGGGCCTGTGATGGGAGGGGCTGCCATAAAAGTCTCTGAAATACCTTGGAGGCATTTTCCTATTGTCTTGGCTATTAATATTTGTCTCTCCTTTACTTATGTGAATTTCTGCAGCTGGCTTGAATTTCTCCCTGAAAAATGTTTTGTTGTTGTTGTTGTTTTTCGTTTTTTTCTACAACATTGTCAGACTGCAAATTTTCCAAACTTTTACACTCTGCTTCCCTTTTAAGAAGTATAAGTTCCTATTTTAGATAGTCCCTTTGTTTGTGCAAATGTGTGCAGGCTTGCATCTCACTTTATGCAGAGCTGGAAAATATTGCCCTTTCACTGGATCTTTTGCCAACACAAAGAAAAATGTGACCCAGTTACTTATTTAAGGTATAAAGTATACTGTGTAGGTAACTGACATGCTTTTAACTAAACATGTAAATAACTTTAGTTTGGCAGTTGTATTTCTATATATAGAGAAAATACTATGCCATTCTTTTCTGGCTTTTTTTTTTTTTTTTTGATACTCTGGGAAGTCTACAGTAAATCTAACATCTCTTGTAAATATCTGTCTTTTCTCTTTGGTTGTTTTTAAGTTCACTATATTAATAATGTTCTGAAATTTTGCTACAAAGATGTGGATTTTTTTTTTTTTTTTTGCTATTTATCTTGTTTAGATTTTACTATGTTTCTGAGTCTTACAATCGATGTCTTTTATCATTCTGGCATTTTTAAATAAATAATATTTTCCAGTATTTCCTCTTGTCATTAAAATACTATTAAACATATGTTGGACGTTTTCATTCTGCCACCCTTGTCTCTCAGTTGTCTTTCATATCTCTTTTAATGTCTTCTGAGTAATTTTTTTCAGATCCAACTTTCAGTTTACTAGTTATTTCATTGAATGTGATATGATGTTTACTCCATCTGTTGAGTTTTTACTTTTAGTTACTTTATTATTCATTTCACAAGATTATATTGTATCTTAAAAAGTGTTTTAAAAATTAATTCCCTCTTTTTTTGAAGATGGTTGTTCTTGATTCATTACGTTGAATTTAATTATTTTAAATTTTTTTGTTTGTTTGTTTTGATGGAGTCTTGCTCTGTCACCAGGCTGGAATGCAGTGGCACAATCTCAGCTCACTGCAACCTCCACCTCCCGGGTTCAATTGATTCCCTTGCCTCAGCTTCCCAAGTAGCTTGGACTACAAGTGTGCACCACCACACCCGACTACTTTTTTGTGTTTTAGTAGAGACGGGGTTTCATCATGTTGGCCAGGATGGCCTCGATCTCCTGACCTCGTGTTCCACACGCCTCAGCCTTCCAAAGTATTGGGATTACAGGCATTAGCTACTGTGCCTGGCCTTAAATAGGTATTTTTAATCTCTGCAACTTGTTCTATCATAGAAAATTATGACAGTTTATTTTTATAATAGATTTTCTCATTTTTGCTGTAAATGTTGGATTTTAAACACTCTTAACTAATATTTCATATGCAATAATTTTGTTCTGACTGCATAAGAGAGTTTTTATTGCTCCTGGGATGTACCTCAATTTATCACCAACATTGATTTGCCAATCTGGGCCCAAGTTGCCATTATCCGCTCGAGATTTCCTTGCCTACATAGAAATTAAACATTTAAAACACAAACTTTTATACAGGTGTGCCTATATGTAAACATTTTAAGGGGAGAATTTTATTATAATTATAACACAAGCCAGTACAAAGCAAGTTTCTGTGTGTTGGTATGTTTACTTTTTACTGTACTATTTTACTGTGGATAAATCTTTTATATATGATTTGAGTTTTAAAAAAATCACTGCTCCGTTTCTATCATAGCACAGTCCAAGACCTTACTTTTTTTCTTGTAAGGGCATTAAAACCAAATAATCCTGTCAATGAAATTGTAAAATTCTCCATGTTTGCTAAGGTGTAATTTTAAATAAGTGCTTTAATTTATTTTTTTTAATTTTAGACTCTATTTTCTTGCAAGTTTCTGTTCACTGTCCTACACATTATTCTGACATTCACTTCCTTTTTACCCTCTGAAACCTGGGAATTCTCTTCTATTAATTTGGTGTTTGTTTATGTATTTTAACATTTCATTTATATTGTTTCCAGAATTTCTATATTGTAGAAGCAGAGGGGGAATTCTCTCATTACTCTAGTCTACAATATTTTACATTTACACATAAATTATATTTTTAATATAGATAAAAGAAAAAAGTATGTAGTGGTTGGTTTTCTTCACTTGGTACAAAAGAAAATTTACTTAATCTAAATAGATTTTTATTTATGTCTGTCATTAATAATTAGATTGCAGATATATGCACCAAGAAAGTACAAGTAGCAATGTGTTTTAAAGATTAACCAGGTGGCTAAAAAAGATCAACAAGGAAAAAAAAATTTCGGCAATGGCAATATAATCAGATATCAACAAAGTCAGTTTTGGTCATAATACTTACATTTAAAGAGCCCTGTACATACTTAAAAATATTATACTATTCTTTAATATGTCATAATAATACAGGCATTTTTAAATTAATTTCTATAGTCTTAAATATAATGGTTTCTTAAAGCTCTAGCTTTCCTCATGACTTCCTTAGTGCACTTTAGAAATTATAAGACTAATATAAAGAAAACATTTTCATTCCTTCTCTGTAGTCAATGTAACTATAACCTACAAACTTTAATATGCCACAATTGGCACACAGATTTTAAACACAGGACTTCACTGATAATATAATTATTCCATTACTATTTGCAATTTGATGTTGGGTAGTTTCATGAAATTTAGATTTTTGTTTTGTTTTGCAAAATTTATAATTTCACTGAAGATTAGTGAGACATGAAAACTTCTCAAGAAATAATAAATAGAAAGCAAAAGAATGTCTTTACTATTGTGTCCTTAAAAGAAATGCTACTCGAAAAGAAGTTCTGACCATAATTCACAAATTTTAGTTGCAAATTATACATTAGTACTACTTATCACTCATCTCACTTACTGCTCTTGTCACAATAGGCTTGCATTTATCATGACTTATATTTTTTATATTTTTAGTGTGATTGTCCTTATTGTTGCCAATACTTCTCTTAATACACATATAGCCAAATTGAATTAAATGCAACCTTATATTTCATACTTAAGTCATGAATTGAAACTTGATTGACTAGCACTTAACAGTAAATTATAAAATAAAGTGACCGGCCCAATTTTATCTAGCAAAACAATGTAGGCACTATGATGAAATGGCTGATCTGACAGTCTTATTTTATGATCTGTTGCATTAAACTCTTACTTAACATGATTTCCATAGATACTCAGAGTGTGAATATTGGAGAAACCTAAAATACTTATTTTACATCAAATAAAACTGCATTACCAAATAATACCTAAAATTTTGTTGGCTCTCAAGATATTTAATAGCTTCAGACTTTTTATCCAGGAATATATCTATATCTATATCTATATCTATATCTATATCTATCTATATATTTCTTGCTGTTATTACACTTCTTAAATTTATATATATATATATATATATATATATATATATACACACACATATATGTGTGTGTGTGTGTGTATATATATATATCGCCACTTCAAGGATCTCTCACAAACCATTTTTGCTTTGCAACATATGTCACAAATGGGAAAACGGCTATATATATGTGTATATATATATATATGTATATATATACACACACACACACATATGCACATGCTGCAGTGCAAAAATGGCTTGTGAGAGATTCTTGAAGTGGATATATATATATAATTTTAGAAAGTGTAACAACAGCAAATATATATGTATATATATGTGTGTATATATATATATATACCTACATATATTTAGGAAGTGTAACAACAGCAAGTAGTTAGGTAGACATGAGATTTTTATTTGTTTGCTGAAAAGCAGTGAACCATCTTGAATTGTACCAGGAAAAATTAAGGTAAAAGTTATGAAAAACTACACACCAAAAAACTTTCTAAATACCAGAGTATAAAACAAAAGATTAGCCTTTGTTGAGTGAATTTGAACATAATAGTCTGTCAACCAATGGCCTAAAAATTCAGTGAAAATAAATATGTTTTGATTCTGAGGCTATAATTCTTAAAGTGACTAAAAACATTCAAGAACGGCTATAAAATTATCTCCTGCAGATTTAATAAGTGCTACTTATCTGCCTGTAGTAGACAACAACCAGTGTGAATGCGGCAGAAATAGCTAGGTAACTCTGGAAGCTATTGATATTCTGAGATCACAGTGGAATGGGAAAGGTTCCCCTTCCCCCTCGTAGGGCATGCATTGAGGGTGTGGCTCTCTTCCTAGGTGCCCCGCTGCTCAAACCTCTAGGGGAGCATACAGACAGGCAGGCTGTGGGGCTCTGACCATAAGGCAGTGTCTAGGGGTTAATGTTTACAGCTGAAGCCCCAGTGGGCATGTGTTACAGGGTGCTCTTTTAGTTTGCCATCTATAGGTGGCTTGTGTTAACCAGCTGAATTAGACCCCCTTCCTTATCACAAGGACAGGGGGATTTCTGTATCCCAGGGTTTCTTGCCTTGGTGTCCCGGAATTATTGGATCACACGTGGGCTTAGAGAATGAGTGTAGGGTTTTATTGAGTGGAAGTAGCTCTCAGCAGATGGAGGAGCCAAAGGGAGATGGTTTTCCCCTAGAGTTGGGCTGCTCGACTCTTCTCCTACCACTCTGGACAAGCTCCACATCATTCCACTGGTCGATGGCCTGCCAGCCTGCTAGTGCCTGTCGGGCATGCTCCTTCCCCTGATGTGCTCTTGATGACCAGCCACTTGTGTCTTCCACCGATGTGCTCCTCACAACATTTAACCACTTGTGTGTCTGCCTTGCTAGGGTCTCGAGTTTTTACAGGCCCAGGATGGGGGCATGGCAAGCCAAGGTGGTCTTGGAGAATGCAACATTTGGTCATGAAGGCAGAAGTGCCTACCCTCACCTAGGTCCATGGAGGTGGAGCCCTAGTCAGGGACTGCACTCTCCTCTACCAAGCACTTCTCTTCCCCGCTTCTGTATTATTTAAAGGGACTATGCTCTTCCTTTCCCAGCACTTCCATATCAATAGAAAATTCTAGGCACCATCTACGTATTAAAATTCAATGTATTAGACCTGGTAATTCCGTTATACATTTTGTTTGTGATAAATGCAAACTAGATAAACATTGAATAAAAATGAAATATTGCTGAACTCTATTCACCGTTCTCAGCTAAGCTTACCTTAGAATGCTACATTGATTACCCCAGTAAACCTCCAATAAATTATATAATTATAATATTGCTAATGATTTCATCAAAAAAGGAAACCACTCTTGTATCTTTAACTCTATGAAGAAATAGCTTAATTTCATTAACATTGTTGTAAAATTAGATTCCAGAAATATTAAATGCATTCCTGTAGTAATACAGGTCACAGTTCACAGAATGGTCCATGTATTATTTTGCAATACATTTGAAAATATTACGTATTTGTCACTTTAAGCCAGCAATGTGGTGCACATTGCTGGCCTGTAATCCCAGTACTTTGGGAGGCTGAGGTGGCATGAGCACTTGAGGCCAGCAGATCAAGACCAACCTGGTCAACATAATGAGACCCCCATCTCTACCAACAAATTAAATAAACAATTATCTGGGCTTGGTGGTACATGGCCATAGCCCCAGATACTTGGGAGGCTGAGGCAGCATGATTGCTTGAGTCCAGGAGGTTGAGGCTGCAGTGAGCTATGATTGCACTACTGTACACCAACCTTGGTTACTGAGTGAAATTCTGTCTATAAAATAAAAAGAACATTAGTTGCTTTAATGTTATTTAGGTGTTTTGATAGCATTTATTTTTAAATAGAAAGACTCCTATATCTTGGTAAACATTTTTACAACTTGACAGTACCATATTAAAGCTCTGAGTCTTCAAACAAGTGTGATGTTTTTATTGTGATCAATTTCATGGCTTCTGGCATCTGAGCATCAGCTTTTGCTTCACCTGTTAGAAAAGTATCAAAAAATTCAGTCGATTTTATAATTATTAGAATTAAATGAATTCTTGCCTTTCTAGTATAGCTGTCTCAAAGCTATATCAGAGCTGCTGCTTTTAGTAATTTATATATATGTGTGTATATACATATATATCTAAATATACTTAAAATATATATACATCTTTTTTTGATTCATTTACCCAATACATTTTTCCTACTAGAGGAGACAATTTTGCAACTTTTGTTTTGAATGCCATTGTCTTCTCTGACTAGTTCAAGGATCTCACACAAGCCATTTTTGCACTGCACCTTATGTCACAAATGGCAAGAATGTCTGGCTAAGTTGGCATGTAACTGTTTCTTTTGTTGCTGGATATTTTGAAGATATTTGTCCTGTGACTTCAATTTCCATTGCTTGACAGACCTTAAATTTTCAACAGCTTAAAACATGTTTGCAAATGCAATGCAAACATAGCAGCTATGTTTCATATATAAAACTTTTCGGTAAGACACTGATCTTTATTACAAATTTAGAGAGTATTACCAAGTACACTAATAATTGTATATCTTGGATGCCCTAATTTCATTTTACAGTATGAAAATATATTGGAGAGCTGTAAAAATTTACCATTGGTTTATTCAGTCAGTTTCATGATTTTTATTTCATCTATCAAAATTCTAGAAAAGTCTTAAGTTTCTTGAAATTGTGCATTAAAATTTTTCTTAAAAAACATTTGAAATATATTGGTTCCTGACTTTGTTTAAATAGTACTTTAGTTGTACACATCGAATAGCTCAATTAAAAAAAAATGTAAATTAAATTAACATTTAATTAAATGTTCTTTTCCTTAGTTATATTAATCTACACATTAACTACTCTTCTAAAAATTCTTCATTTCTTTATCTCAGCAGACATCTCTCTTATTTTCATTCACTCATTATAGGCATCAATGGAAAATTTACTTCCATGTATTTACAGGGTTAGAATTTCTCCTTGGGCTAAGTGGGGCAAGTTTTCATGATAAAGACTATGGTCAGGAATTTTGAAAAGTACCAAATAATTTAGTTATAATCATAATTATAAAGATTTTTAATTATGTATTTGGCTATGCTACCTATTAAACCTTAGATTAATTCAGCTTATTAATGTTCACTGTCTCATCTCCCTGTCACCCTTTCCTAGCCAACCAAAGACAGATGTACAAAAATGCACACACATCATTCTCAACTGGCCCATAGCTCAAGGGTCAGACAAGTCATTATTCTTCTCTGCCAGTGCAAAATTAACATCTATCCTGGCCATAGGCTAATATCCTACTTGCTATTCTTCATATTGGCCCCTTCAGTTATTTCTAGTTCTTCATATAATAATTATTTCCAACCCTTGAGTATGCCCCTAGTAGAGTAGGTAGATTATCCAAATGATTTACATTTTTAGCTATATTACATTAATATATTATAGTTTAAATTTCTTGAGTGCTTACTATGTGCCAGGCCTAATGTCAATGCAATATCTCATTTATCCTTATAACACCATTAAAATATGTATTATTATTTTTACAAATTTATAGATGAGGCAACTATAACAAAATACTTTTCCAAATGATGCCTAGTCATTAACTGTAAAAGCCAGAACCTCAGTCAATGACGAGGCCTCAAAGCATGTGTATTTAACTGTTATGCTATACTATATTGCACCCCCAGTTGTTTGATTTGCCGATAATAAAGATGAATAAATTTAAGTTTTTAGTTGCTCCACTGTTGCATATCATCTCACAATAGTTTACTTAAAATTTATAGAATTAACTGCTTACCTTTTTCTTACAGCATTTCCATAAAATTTTCCTTTTTAGGGTACAAATTGGGTCTTCTTGTCAGTATAATTTTTTAATGATGTTCAACAGAGCAGCAGCATTTTGAAAATTAATCACAACTGTGTATTGAAACACAATTATGCATCCTAGACCAAGCTGGTACTCAATCATCAAAGAAACACTATCTTTGTCTTACAAGGACTAGTAGCTGAGTTTAATATTGCTTAAAAAAATCTATACATGCTGCCCACATCATTTTGTATTTTTATGTGTTTAAATCCAGCAAGTATTCAACTTTTATAGCACCCAAAAAATTGTTTTATGATGTAATCTACATGTGGTTCAAATGCTTTAAATTTTACCTATGGCTATAACTTTTTATAAATTTAATAGCAGCAAAACCTTAACACATCACCTTTGAATCTCTTGAGACATGAAAACATTAATATTCAATGTCTTAACAACTAGATTCACCTTTATAGCAAGTTTGGTATAAAGCTATTAATGTGAAATTGCTTACAAAAGAGATATTAATAAAAATCCAAAAATTTAATGCCTAGACTTCATTTTGATTACTAAACTTTATTAATATAGCAAACTAAAACAATTCTGTTATTCTTCAAGTTCCTAAGAAATACCATGCGTACATTATTGAAATTTAATTGAAAATTTGTCAGGCATGGTCACTATAGGTCTGAACATTTATTGAAACATTTAAAATAACTTGATAAAATATAAATAATTTATATACAGAAAATAAGAGGCTAAATCTTCTCATATTAATATATAGTAAACCCCTGCAGATACAACCTGCACCATGTAAAGCCTCACAAATTTTTAATTGAACAGTGGGGTTTGGAAGAAACCCTATTTGATTTTTACCTTACAAATAGTTGACAAAGATCATTTGTTTTCTTAAGGATAATAAAAATGTTAAAATGCTATATTTACTTTTGTAATGAACTATTTAATAGAACATAATCATTTTTTCCTCTGAAATAAGTACTTACTAATGCCTAAAAGTTTGCTAGCTAGCAATTTGTATAGCCTTGCACCCTGCAAGGTTAATAGTCTACTAAGCTGATTCAACTTTTCTTAAAATAATTGAATAGGATCATTATGGACCATTTAATTTAGGCAATAGGCACGTGGAAGAGGTAGAGAAAGGATTGAATTCCTCAATATGTAACCAGAATATTATTTCATTTCCCCTAGTATGGCTTGTGCATAGGAAAAAGGAACAGATGTACTATTTAAAAGTTCACCTGATAAAAATGTGAGTTGATTATTTAATACACAAAGTAAAGTCGAAACCCAGCAATCCCATTACTGGGTATATACCCAAAGGATTATAAATCATGCTGCTATAAAGACACATGCACAAGTATGTTTATTGCGGCACTATTCACAATAGCAAAGACTTGGAACCAACCCAAATGTCCAACAATGATAGACTGGATTAAGGAAATGTGGCACATATACACCATGGAATACTATGCAGCCAGAAAAAATGATGAGTTCATGTCCTTTGTAGGGACATGGATGAAGCTGGAAACCATCATTCTCCGCAACTATCTCAAGGACAAAAAAACAAACACCGCATGTTCTCACTCATAGGTGGAAATTGAACAATGAGAGCACATGGACACAGGAAGGGGAACATCATACACTGGGGACTGTTGTGGGGTGGGGGCAGGGGGGAGGGATAGCATTAGGAGATATACCTAATGTTAAATAACGAGTTGATGGGTGCAGCACACCAACATCGCACATGTATACATATGTAACTAACCTGCACATTGTGTATATGTACCCTAAAACTTAAAGCATAATAAAAAAAGAAATAATGTAAATAAAACATACTTAACTTCTGAATTTTCTATACCGTGAATGTTTATATGTCATGAATAAACTCTTAGCTGAAGAATGTTTTAACAATAATTGGCTGAAAAACATAAACTTTTTTGAGCGCGGGGGCAAAGCATGCATTAACAACATTAATCTGGGATGATGTTTCTAGAGTTTTGCTTAAAATATTAAATGGGTAGTAAATCCAAGAAAGCAAATCAAACAATGCTTATTTGTAATAAAACAAAATTCCTTTCTATGGGTCAAGTTGAATTAAATAAAAATCCACATCTTCCATAAGAGAAATCTTTAAAACAAATAAAAATTAAGCTGACACAGATTTAAAATAAAAAAAATCTTTTTTTTTTTAACAAACCTATTCTTAGCATCTGGTTATCACAATTTTTCGCATTAGTATGGAGCTGTTGCTAACTTTTAAAGCACTTTTCTAATTATTATTTTCATAATTCTGAAGCATATAGAAATTTATAGTTTTAAAAGCAATTTTACATAGATTATCTCACTTGATCCTTTTGAAATATTTTGTAAGGTTGTTGGGGATGATTCTATTATCCCTAATTTACAAATAAAGAAACCATTTAAATGAAGTTAAAGGGGTTGTATAAGGTCATAGCTCAAAAATGACAGAGATGAGACAAGCTCAGATTTTCTGATTCTATCACTAACTTTTTTTTGTGACTTTGAGAGAAGTCTCTCTGTATCTATTTCCTCAACCATAAAATAAGGTGTTAGCCAAGATAATCCTTATGGTACTGTACAGTTCAAACCTCATGATTCTGTGATTTTTTTTGAGTTTTAAACTAGTCTTTTCACTATGATATATATATTCAATTAAAATTTTTTTGTGAGACAACTGTTGATTTTCACATCCATTTGTAAGAAATAATACAGAAATATTTGTTTTACTCTTTGGCACTTTCCCACAAGATAACATTCTGCAATGTTGTGGCACAATACCATAGCCAGGATATTAGTATTGATACAATTTACCATTCTTATTTAGATTCCTCTAGTTTTATTCACACTCATTTATGTGTGTGTGTGTATAATGAATTCCATATTATTTTATTACATGTGTAGGTTTGTGTATGCACAAACAGAGTTAAACACTGGTTTATTGTTGTTATTGTTAATGTGTTGTATTAGTCTGTTTTCATGTTGCTAATAAAGACATACCCAAGACTGAGTAATTTTTAAAGGAAAGAGGTTTAATTGACTCACAGTTCCTCAGGGCTGGGGAAGCTTCAGAAAACTCATGATCATTGTGGAAGGGGAAGGAAAAATGTCCTTCTTTACATGGCGGCAGCAAGGAGAAGTGCAGGGTGAAGGAGGGAAAAGCCCCTAATAAAACGATTAGATCTCTTGAGAACTTACTCACTATTATGAGAACAGCAGCTTAGGGGTAAACACCCCCATATCATTCTACTCCTGGATACTCCCAACTCTCATGTCCTACCATTCAGGCCTTACTAACAGTTCCCCAAATCAACTCATTCCAGGATTATCTCAAAACTCCAAGTCCAAAGTTTCATCTGAGACGAGGCAAATCCCTTCTGCCTATAAGCCTGTAAAGTCAAAAGCAAGTTAGTTACTTCCTAGACAAAATGGGGTACAGCCATTGGAACACACCTATTCCAAATGGGAGAAATTGGCTAAAACAAAGGGGCTACAGGACCCATGCAAGTCCAGAATCCATTAGGGCAGTCATTAAACCTTAAAGTTCCAAAATAATCTCCTTTGACTGCTTGTTTTACCTCCACCACATGCTGATGCAAGAGGTAGTCTCCCATGGCCTCGGGAAGCTCCACTTATGTGGCTTTGCAGGGTACAGTGCCCCTCTCGGCTGCTTCCATGTGCTGGCATTGAGTGTTGGTGACTTTTCCAGGTATATGGTGCAAGCAGTCAGTGGATCTACTATTCTGGGTTATGGAGGACAGTGGCTATCTTCTCACAGCTCCACTAAGCAGTGTCCCAGTGGGGACTCTGTGTGAGGGCTCCAACCCCACATTTTTCCTTCCACACTGCCTTAGCAGAGGTTCTGCATGAGGGCCTCCACTCTGCAGCAAACTTCTACCTGGACATCCAGGCATTTCAATACATCCTCTGAAATCTAGGTGGAGGTTACACAACCTCAATTCTTGGCTTCTGTGCACCCACAGGCTTAACACCATGTGGAATCTGCCAAGGGTTGAGGCTTGCACCCTCTGAAGCCACAGCCTTAGCTGTACCTTGGCCCCTTTTAGCCACAGCTGGAGCAGCTGGAAAAGAGTACACCAAGTCCTGAGGCTGCACACAGCAGCAGGTCTCTGGACCCAGCCCAGTAAACCATTTTTCCCTCTTAGGACTCTGGGCCTGTAAAGGAAGGGGCTGCTGAGATGCCTCTGACATGCCCTGGAGGCATTTTCCTCATTGTCTTGGCAATTAGCATTTGGCTCCTCATTACTTATACAATTTTCTGCAGTAGGCTTGAATGTGTTTTTCTCTTCTACTGCATTCTCAGGCTGCAAATTTTTCAAACTTTTATGCTCTGTCACCTCTTGAATGCTTTTTTGCTTAATTTTTTTTCTGCCAGATAACCTAAATCATCTATCTTTAGTTCAAAGTTCTACAGATCTCTAGGGCAGGTTCAAAATGCCACCAGTCCTATGCTAAAACATAGCAATACCAACCTTTAGTCCAGTTTCCAAGTTCTTCATCTCCATCTGAGACCACCTCAGTCTGGACTTTATTGTCCATATCACTATCAGCATTTTAGTCAAAGCCATTCAACAAGTCTCTAGGAAGTTCCAAACTTCCCCACATCTTTCTGTCTTCTGAGCCCTCCAAACTGTTCCTATCTCTTCTTGTTACCCAGTTCCACTTCCACATTTTCAGGTATCATTACAGCAGAATCCCACTCTACTGGTACAAATGTACTGTATTATTTCTTTCTCTTGCTGCTAATAAAGGCATACCCACGACTGGGTAATTTATAAAGAAAAGAGATTTAATTGACTCACCGTTCCACAGGGCTGGGGAGGCTCAAGAAACTTACAATCATGGAAATGGAAGCAAACATGTCCTTCTTCACATGGTGGCAGCCAAGGGAAATGCAGAATGAAGAGAGAAAATTCCCTTATAAAACCCATCAGATCTTGTGATAACTTATTATGACAAGAACACCATGGAGGTAACTGTCTCCATGATTCAATTACCTTCCACTGGGTCCTTCCCATGACATGTGAAGATTATGGGAACTACAGTTCAAGATGATATTTGCCTGGGGACACAGCCAAACCACATCATATGTCTTTGTCAGGCCTTGGTGTCGGATTAACACTGGCCTCATAAAGTGAATTTGGAAATGTTTCATCCTCTTCTATTTCTGGAATAGATTATGAAAAATTGTTGTTAATTTTTTTTTAAATATTTGTTGTGATGCTACACTGGAATAATGTGGACCTATAAGTTAGTTAGCTTTTCACAAGGGTTTTAATCATTAATTTATTGTATGGTCATCAGTCTATTCTGATTGTCTATTTTATCTTGGTTGACTTTTGGTAATATTTGGTTTTAGGGGAATTGATGCATTTTTTTCTGACTTACAAAATAAATAAGAATTTTTTTTCATAGTATTCCCTTATTACTGTGGCTGCAGGATCTCTAGTGATATCTTCTATTTTATTCCTGATATTAGTGATTTATTTGTCCTTCCTTTTTTGTCAGCCTTGCTAGAAGTTTATGAGTGTCTTTGATTCTTTCAAAGTATTAGCTTTTGTTTCATTAATTTTATTGATATTTTCTACATTGAATATTATTGTTTTCTGTTCTTATCTTCATTTTTCTCTTCCTTCAGCTTGCTTTAGATTTATTTTGGTTTATTGAGGTAATAAGTTGAATGAATATTTGAAAGCATTCCATGATTGCAACGTAAGCATTTAGTGTTATAAAATTCCCTCTCAGCACTGACTTAGTTATATCTTCCATATTTTGATATGTTGTTGTTCTTCAATGTTTATATTTTTATTTCCTTTGTGACTTCCTCTTTCATGTTACTGATGTGTGTTTTTAAATAATATGATGTATGTTAATTTTCATGTAATTAGAGGCTGTTCTCTTGTCTCTGTTTTTGATTTCTAGTTTTATTCCATTGTGTTCAGAAAACACACTCTACATAATTTTGATTAAAAACATTGAGATATATTTTATGGACCAGAATAAAGTTTATTTTGTGAAAAGTCCAAGGACCCTTTAAAAAATGCTATTCTTCTACTGTCAAAAGTAATATACAGGTTCAATGTAATTTCTATCAAAATGCCAATGTCATTTTTCACAGAATTAGAAAAAACAATTCTATACTTGATATGGAATCAAAAAAGAGCCTGAATACCTAAAGCAATCCAAAGAATAAATCAAGCCTGGAGACATGGGGCTCTCTCACTTATGAGGAAGAATAGTGGTTTTTGGTTTTCAGTTTCTGTAGTAGCTTGCTAAGGATAATGTCCTCCAGCTCCATTTGAAGTCCATCACATTGCTGGAATTAAAATTTTACTACAATGCTATAGTAAACAGAACATCATGGTACTGGTATAAAACCAGACACGTAGATCAGGATAAAAGAATAGAGAACCCTAAAATAAAGTTACATACTCCACCAACTGATCTTTGCCAATTCTACAAAAACATCCACAGGAAAAGGACATCCTTTTTAATAAATAATGATGAAAAAATTGGATTGCCACATGCAAAAGAATCAAACTCGACCCATATCTCTCACCACATACAAAAATCATTTCAAGATGTTTTCCATACTTGGATTTAAGACCTGAAACTAGGCCAGGTGAGTTCACTAACACGTGTAAACCCAACATTTTGGGAGGCTGAGGTGGAAAGATTGCTTGAGGCCAGAGATCAGCCTTAACACATAGTGAGACCCCCATCTCTACAAAATAAAAATAAAATAAAATAAAATAAAATAAAATAAAATAAAAATTAGCTGGGCATGGTAATGTGCAGGTGTAGTCCTGGCTACTTGGAAGGTTGAAGTGGAGGGATTGCTAGAGATCAGTAGTTCGAGGATGCAGTGAGCCATGATTGTGCCACTGTGCTTCAGCCTGGGCCACAGAGTGAGGTTCAGTCTCAAAAAAAACACAAAAAACAAAAACAGCAAACAAACAAAAAACTGGTAACTTTAAAAATACTAGAAAAAAATCTAAAAAAGGCTCATCTAGACATAGGCCTTGGCAAAAAGTATTTGAGTAAGAATTTATTACAGGTGACAAAATAAAAAATACACAAATGAGACTTTTTAAAAAATTTTAAACTTTTAATTTTTGTGGGTACATAGTAAGTGTTTATATTTATAGGGCACTTGAAATATTTTGACTCAGGCTTAAAATGCATAATAATCACATCATGGAAGATGGGGTATTCATCCCCTCAAGCATCCTTTGTGCCACAAACAATCCAATTATATTATTTTAGTCATTTCAAAATGTAAAATTAAACTATTATTTACTATAGTCACCCTGTTGTGCCATCAAATATGAGGCCATATTTATTAATTATAACAATTATTTTGGTTTCATTAATCATTCCCTCCTTCCCCTCTACCCTCTCACTGTTCTTACCAGCCTCTGATAACCATTCTCACACTATCTTCAAGGTTTTAGCTGTTTTGAGTTTTAGATCCCAGAAATGAGAAAGAACATGTGATGCTTGTCTTTTTGCACCTAGATTATTTTACTGAACATAATGACCTCCAGTTGCACCCAAATTGTTGCAAATAATTGAATCTCATTATTTTTATGGCTGAATAGTACTCCATTGTGTGTAAGTACCACATTTTATTATTGTTTTTTAACTTTTATTTTTGAGATAAAGTCTCGCCCTGTTGCCCAGACTGGAGTGCAGTGGTATGATCTCAGCTCCCTGCAACTTCCACCTCCTGGGTCTGAGCAATTCTCCTGCCTCACTCTCCCAAGTAGCTGGGACTACAGGCACATGCCACCACATCCGGCTAATTTTTGTTTTTTTAGCAGACACGGGGTTTCACCATGTTGGCTAGGCTGGTCTCGAACTCCTGACTTCAAGTGATCAGCTGGTCTATGACTCCCAAGGTGCTGGGATTACAGGCACGAGCCACTGTAACTGGCCTCTTTTTTAACTTTTATTTTAAGTTCAGGGTTACACGTTTAGGATTGTTACATAGGTAAATTTGTATCATAGGGGTTTGTTGCACAGATTATTTCATCATCCAAGAATTAAGCCTAGTACTCATTAGTTATTTTTTCTGATCCTCTCACTCTTCCCACCCTCCACTCTCCAATAAGCCCCAGTGTGTATTCTTCTCTATGTGTCCATGTGTTCTCATCATTTAGCGCCCACTTATAAGTAAGAACATGCAATATTTGATTTTCTGTTTCTGCGTTAGTTTGGTAGGGATAAAGGCCTCCAGCTCCATCCATATACCTGCAAAAGATATAATCTAATTTTTAAAATGGCTTCATAGTATTCCATGGTGTATATGTACCACATTTTCTTTATCCAGTCTATCATTTTCGGGCATTTAGGTTGACTTCATGTCTTTGCTATTGTGAGTGGTGTTGCAATGAATATACACATACATGTGTCTTTGTAACATAATTATTTATATTCCTTTGGGTATATGCCAGTAATGGGATTGCTGGGTTAAATGATATTTCTGTCTTTACACCTTTGAGAAATAGCCACACTGTCTTCCACAATGGCTAAATTAATTTACACTCCCCAAAACAGTGTATAAGCATTTATTTTTCTCCAAATCTTGCTAGCATCTGTTATTTTTTGACTGATTAATAATAGCCATTCTGAATAGTGTAAGATGGTGTCTCATTATGGTTTTGATTTGTATTTCTCTAATGATTAGTGATACTGAGCTTTATTTCATATGATTGTTTTCCACGTGTATGTCTTCTTTTGAAAAGTCTCTGTTTATGTCATTTGTCCACTTTTTAAATGAGGTTGTTTTCTTTTTCTTGTACATTTGTGTAAGTTCCATAACAAATTAGGATATTAGACCTTAGTCAGATGCATAGTTTGCCAAACTTTTATCCCATTCTGTAGATCGTCTGATTATTTAGTTGACTGTTTTTTTTTTTTTTTTTTTTTTTTTTTTTTTTTTGCTGTGTAGAAGCTCTTTAGTTTAATTAGATCCCATTCATCAAATTTTGCTTTTTCTGCAATTGCTTTTGGTGTCTTCATCATGAAATCTTTGCCCATACCTATGTCCTGTATGGTATTGCCTAGGTCATCTTCAAGGGCTTTTATAGTTTTGGATTTTATGTTTAAGTCTTTAATTTATCTTGAGTTATTTTTTTATATGGTGTGAGGAAAGAGTCCAGTTTCAATCTTCTGCATATGGCTAGGTAGCTATTCCAGCACTATTTTTTAAATACAGAATTCTTTCCCCTTTGCTTGTTTTTGTCAGCTTTGTTGAAGATCAGATTGTTGTAGGTGTGCAGTCTTATTTCTGGTTCTCCACTCTGTTCCATTGGTCTATGTTTCTGTTCTTGTGCCAGTACCATGGTTACTGTAGCCCTGTAGTTAGTTTGAGGTTGGGTAGCGTGATGCTTCCAGCTTTTTTCCTTTTGCTTAAGATTCCCTTAGCTATTTGGGCTGTTTTTGGGTTTCATGTGAATTTTAAAATAGTTTGCTTTCTAGTTCTGTGAAGAATCTCCATGGTAGTATAGTGAGAATAAAACTGAATCTACAAATTGCTTTGGGTAGTATGGCCATTTTAACAAAATTCTTTCTATCTGTGAGCATGGAATGTTCCTTCATTCTTTTGTGTCATCTCTAATTTATTTGAACAGTGGTTTTTAGTTTTCCTTGTAGAGTTATTTCACCTCCCTAGTTAGCTGTGTTCCTAGACATTTTTTTGTAGGAATTGTGAATAAGAGTTTGCTCCTGACTTGACTGTTGTTGGTGTACAAGAATGCTAATGATTTTTGCACACTGATTTTGTATTCTGAGACTTTGCTGAAGTTGTTTGTCAGCTTAAGAAGCTTTTGGGCTAAGATTGAGGTTTTCCAGAAATAGAATTATGTCATCTGCAAATAAGGATAGTTATACTTACTCTCTGCCTGTTTGGATGCCCATTATTTATTTCTCTTTCCTGATTGCCCTGGCCAGGACTTCCAATACTATATTTGAATAAGAATGGTGAAAGAGGGCATCCTTGTCCTGTCCTCTTTTTCAAGGGGTATGCTTCCAGCTTTTTCCCATTCCATGTGATGTTGGCTGTGGGTTTGTCATATATGGTTCTCATTTTTTTGAAGTATGTTTCTTCAGTACATAGTTTATTGAGAATTTTAACATGAATGAATGTTGAATTTTATTGAAAGCCGCTTCAGCATCTATTGAGATAATCATGTGTTTTTGTTTCTAGTTCTGTTTATGTGATGAATCATATTTATTGATTTGTGTATATTGAACCAAGCTTGCATCCCAGGAATACAGCCTACTTGATAATGCTGGAAAAGCTTTTTGATGTGCTTCTTGATTTCATTTGCCAGTATTTTCTTAAGGATTTTTGCATCACTGTTCATCAAAAATATTGGTATGAAGATTTTTTTTCTTTTGTGTCCCTGCCAGGTTTTGCTATTGGGATGATGCTGTCCTCATAGAATGGTTTAGGAAGGAGTCCCTCTTTCTTAATATTTTGAAATAGTTTCAACAGTACCAGCTCTTCTTTGTGAAAGTTGTAGAATTCATTGTGAATCCATCTGGTCCTGGGCTATTTTGGGTTGGTAGACTATTTATTAATGACTCAACTTCAGAGCTCGTTATTGGTCTGTTAAGGAAATAAATTTCTTCCTTGCTTAGCCTTTGGAGGGTATTTGTGTTCAGGAGTTTATTGATTTCTTCTAGAGTTTCTAGTTTGTGTGCAAATAAATGTGCATAATGTTCTCTGATGGTTATTTGTATTTCTGTGGGGTCAATGGTAATATCCACCTTGTCATTTCTGATTGTGTTTATTTTAATCTTTTTCTTTTCTATTTTATTAGTCTAGCTAGCAGTTTACCTGTTATATTAATGTTTTGAAAAAAACTGCTTCTGAATTTGTTGATCTTTTGGAGGTATTTTTGTGTTTCAATCTCCTTCAGTTCAGCTCTGACTTTGGTTATTTCTTGTCTTCTGCTAGCTTTTGGATTTGTTTGCTCTTGATTCTCTAATTCTTATAGTTGTGATGTTAGGTTGTTAACTTAAGATCTTTTCAAGTTTTAAAAGAGGGCATTTACTGCTATAAACAACCCTCTTAAAACTTCCTTTGCTATGTCCTAGAGATTCTGGTATCTTGTAGCTTTGTTCTCAATAGTTTCAAAGAACTTCTTGATTTCTGTCTTAATTTTATTATTTGCCCAAATGTCATTCAGAACCAGGTCATTCAATTTCTATGTAATTGTATGATTTTGAGTGAATCTCTTAGTCTTGATTTCTAATATGATGGTATTGTTGTCCATGACACTGTTTGCTATTATTTTACTTATTTTGCATTTGCTGAGGATTGTTTTACTTCTGATTATGTGATAGATTTTGAGTATGTGCAATGTGGTGATGAGAAGAATGTATATTCTGTTGTTTTGGGGTGGAGAGTTCTGTAGATATCTATCAGGTTCATTTGATCAAGTGCTAAGTTCAGCTCCTGAATGTCTTTGTTAATATTCTATCTCAATCATCTGTGTAATATTTTCAGTGGGGTGTTAAAATCTTCCACTATTATTGTGTGTGAGTCAAAGTTTCTTTGAAGGTCTCTAAGAACTTGCTTTATAAATGTGGGTGCTCCTGTGTTGGGTGTATATATATTTAAGATAGTTTGATCTTCTTGTGGAACCGAACCCTTTACCATTGTGTAATAAATGCCCTTATTTGCCTTTTTTTGATTTTTGGTTGTTTAAAGTCTGTTTTGTCAGAAACTGAGATTGCAACCCCTGCTTTTTTCTATTTTTCATTTTCTTGTAGATTTTTCTTCACTCTTTTATTTTGAGCTGATGTGTGTAATTGCATATGAAATGGGTCTCTTGAAGACAGCATACCAATGGGTCTTAGTTATTTATCCAGCTTGCCTCTCTGTAACTTTTAACTCAGGCATTTATCTAATTTCATTTAAGGTTAGTATTAATATGTGGGGATTTGATCTTGTCAACATGACATTAGCTGGTTATTTGCTGACTTGTTTATGTGGTTGCCTTATAGTGTCACTTGTATACACTTGTCTGTATACTTCAGTATGTTTTTGTAGTGGATGGTGACAATCTTTCCTTTCCACATTTAGTGCTTTTTTCAGCAGCGCTGGTAAGGCAGGTCTACTAATAACAAATTACCTCACTATTTGTTTGTCTGAAAATAATCTTATTTCTTTTTTTCTTGTGAAGCTTAGTTTGGCCAAATATAAAGTTCGAGGTTGGATTATTTTCTTTAAAAATGTTGAATATTGGCCCCCAATCTCTTCTGACTTTTAGGGTTTCAGCTGAGATGTCTGCTGTTAGTCTGATGGTCTTCCCTTTGTGTGTGACCTGGCCTTTCTCTCTAGCTGTCTTTAACATTATTTTTCTTTCATTTCAACTTGGAGAATCTGATGATTTCATGGCTTGAGAATGATGTTTTTGTCAGGTATCTTACTGAACTTCTCTGAATTTTCTGAATTTAAATGTGTCCTCTCTAGCTAGGTTGAGGAAGTTCTCATGGGTGTTGTTCTAAAACATGTTTTTCAAGTTTGTTTTCTTCTCCTCATCTCTTTCAGGTACACCAATCTGTCATAGATTTTGTCTCTTTACATAATCCCATATTTCTTGGAAGTTTTGTTCATTTCTTCTTATTCTTTTCTCTCTATTCTTGTCTGCCTGTATTATTTCAGAAATCAAGTCTTTGTGCTCTGAGATTTTATTTTCTGCTTGGTCTATCTGTTATTAATACTTGTGATTGCATTATAAAGTTATTGTAGTCTGTTTTTTAGCTCTATCCAGTCAGTTATGTTCTTCTCTTCACTGACTATTTTATCTGTTAGCTCCTGCAATGTTTTATTATGACTTTTGGCTTCCTTGTATTGGGTTACAACATATTCCTGTAGCTCAATGAACTTTGTACCTATTCATATTCTGAATTCTATTTGTGTCATTTCGGCCATCTCAGCCTCAGCCCAGTTCTGAACCCTTGCTGGAGAGGTGATGCACTCATTTGTAGGAAAGAATACACTCTGGCCTTTTGAGTTTTCAGCATTCTTGTGCTAATTCTTTCTCACCTTTGTGGGTTTATATATCTTAATCTTTGAGTTTGCTGACCTTTGGATGTCTTTTTTTTTCCTATTTAATAATATTGAGGGTTTGACTGTGATATGAAGTGGATTCAGTTGATTGCCTTCAATTTGGGGACATTTTTAGGGAGCCAACAATCAGCTCCTAACTCCTGGACTGTGTTCTCTAACTCTGGGGGACTTGTATTAAGCCCAAACTTTGTTATCTGGCTTCTTGAGGTTTATAATCCACTGCCCTGGGAAGGGTGAAGTGTGGCAGCTGCAGCAGAGTGCTAGTGGTTGTGAAGGTGTCTGCTGCCCTGCAGGCTTTCCTGCCTCCCTGTGGGCATCCACCATAGTGGCAGAGACAAGGAAGCTGTGGGGGAAGCAGGGGGCACCTGCTGAAAATTGTGGGTGCAGTTGTACTGGTGGTGGTGTTGGCTTAAGGTGGGGTGCTGCCTGGGACAGGTCTGGGAGCTTTCTCTAAATTTGAATGTTCTTTCTTTCACCATCTTTGCTGTTAAGTCACCCAAACAGCAAAGATGGTGGGCCACTTCTTCCCCTGGGGGCTCCATCAAGCAGGAGTGATTGGTCAGTTAGCACATGGGTGAGGCACTGGTGAGGATGAGGCTTACTGGCTTAATGCCCACCAATGTTCTATCTGCAATAGAAGTCAGTAGAGTGGGGGGCATACTGCACTCTCATTTGCTGGTGAGACAAGTAAAGCAAAACCTGCCTGTGCAGACATACACAAGCAATGTTACTTGGGGAGTTGCTGTGGGTTCTCGGGTAACTGCGGGCTCATGGGTAGCTGCAATATGGAGAAGGAATGTGCAGCTTGGTGCACAGCAATAGGGGCCATCTTGCTGGAGCTCTCCAACAGTCAGGTACATTCTGTCAGTGCAGAAGCTATGGTGTGTGTCCCTGGGGTACCTGTGACTACCCTTTAAGCAGGTATGACCAGTCTGGGGATGTGATAGGGGCCAGCAGACCAAGGAGTGCTCAGGTCGAACCAGCCTCATCTGATGTGCAAAATTGTCCTGCAGAGATCAGGTCTGACAGTTCCCCTAGGGCTAAAGTGTCTCATGGGAGCAAGTCAAGCCTAGAGGATTGGCCATCCCTGGCCACACTTTGCTACCGATGCTTCCACACCAAATCCTCTGGGATTCACATCAGCTGCCTTGCTGCCAAGGCCATTTTTCTTGTCTCTTAGGAAGTACACCCCAGAGAGATGCAAGTCAGCAATAGTTCAGTGCTATCAGCCCAGGATGGTGGGTCTGTGCTGTGGGTCCAAGTCAGGGGTTTTCTGTTTGGTGATGAGCAGTGGAGGGTGTGTGGGAGCCATGGGAGATAGACTGGCCTCTCCTTGGGTTGACTCCAGCTTGTTGGAGTTGTGGACAAGGTACTTAGCATCTTTGCTCCTTCATTAGTCCGAGAGTAGCAAGGACAATTCCACTGCAGAGGCAGTGGCAGAGAGGCTTTCAGTTGCCCCTGGAAGCTCTGACCAGGGAGTTGCTGAGTTGCTATTGGCTCAATAGCCCTGGTGGGGGCTGGCTAGAGATATGGGAATAGGCACCCATGTAAAAGTCTGGCCACTTTTCTGTAGGCTGCTGCAGTATGCTGAGGGTTTGCTCCAGTCCCTAGTCACCTTGGATTTCCCAGTACCTAGACATATCACCACTGATGGCTGTGAAACAGCAAATATGGCAGCCTGCCCCCACTCTGGGAGCTCTGTCCCAGGGAGATCTCACCTAGTGAGGAAGAATGGAGTCAGAGACCTGCTTTAAAAAGCAGTCTGGTCATGTTCTCATGGAGTAGCTATGCTTTGGTGGGAGACCGCCTCTGCCTCCCTGTAGGCTCAGATTCTCCAAAGCCTGAAAACTGGAATGGTTAAGTCACCCAAACAGCAAAGATGGTGGCCCACTCCTTTACCTGGGGGCTCCCTCTTAGGGAATTGTGATGCTACAGGTGGCTGGCTAGAATTTCAAGTCTGTGGTTCTTATCCTGTGAGGTACCTTGGAGGTGGGGGTTGCAGACTGTCACTGCTTGGTGCCTTGGAATCAGCCTCTTTCCTAGGGTTATGTATGGGGACCTGACTTCCCGATTGGCTACAGTAGTAGCTTCTTTTGTTGGGATGCCTGGAAAGTCTGAGTATCTAACACTCCTGTATCTCCACACATGCCTGAGCAGCTGCTCTGTATCATGCTATTTTGATTTCTGTACCTCTACAGTATAATTTAAAGTCATAAAGTCATGTAATAGCTTGGGCCATTCTGGGTCTTTTTTGATTCTATGCAAGACTCCATGTATCTCTGTGTGTCAGACTGAAGACCCTGGTAGAGTGGGTTCATGAGGTAGTTTCCTGACCCAAGGGTTGCAAAAATCCATGGGTGAAGCATGGGTTTCCAGGGTCACACATTTACTCACCACTTCCCCAGGTGGGGGAGTTCCCTTGGTTCCATGTAGCTCCTGCATAAGCCATTGTCTTGCCTTGCTAGTCTCCATTCTCCATGAGTCAAGTTATTTTCTTGATTATTCTCAATGCAAGTACAGGGATGCTTGAGTTGAAGTTCCTGTATTTACTCATTCCCTTTTTTCTCTCCATGAGAGCCGCATACATTAGATGCTTCTAGTCGTCCATCTTGTCCACCTCCCAAATGTCTTTTAGACACACCTATGTTGTTGGGCACTTAAGTTGCTTCCAAATCTTGACTACTTTGAACAGAGCTGCAACAAATATGGCAGTGTAGATGTCTCTTTGATATGTTGATTTCTTTTCTTTTGGATATATACATACCCAGAAGAGAGACTGCTGGATCGCATATTAGCTCTATTTTTAG